>NT_187666.1:0-157710 GCF_000001405.40 Homo sapiens
TGGTTCTCCTCCCTGTAGACTTTGCAGCCAGACTCTTCGATGAAAAACTGTCCTGGCAGTTTGCAGCGACTTTAACGGAACATGCTGATGGGGCTACCTACACCTTGGACACTTTTCCCTCAGCCCGGCCTGTTTTCCTGTTTCTCACATGCGCTTTCTCACTTTCCAGCAGCCTCTTTCTCCTTTTTCAATCTCTCCTGTCTGGCCTTCCATTGTTATTCAGCCTGCTCATTGCTGCGGGCAGCCCGGACGTACTGGCCATCATCTGAAACCACAAACGACAGCGCGCAATAAGCTGGAGAAAGCAGCAATCTAGGAAAGTTCTTCATTCACTCTTGTTCCTAACTCTCTGTCTTCTTATCCTACACAGAAAATAAAAAAATCAATACCGCCTCACAAGGCTTGATAAAAGTGCCGGCTGAGTACAGCAGGCATGCTGGATATAGTAAATTAAAGTGATCAAAACTTTCCAGTCGACTCTGCCTATAGCCCACATAAACTAACAGCCCTGTCTGTCGGATGCCCATCAGCTGGAAGCTTTATTTTATCGGTGCCTCTGATTATCTGGGGAACGAATACATAGGCCTGCTTGGGTCCAGGAGTCCCTGTGTCCGTGTGTGAACATGGGTGGCCCTGGGAGAAATTCCACGGCGAGCCGAGAACAGAGCCAGCAGTCTCCCAGGGGTGCATGTGGGTAGACGGGTGGGTGCCAACATGAGGACTTGCAGGCTTTGGCTCAGACATGGGGAGGGAGAAGCACCGGGCGGGAGACTGGGGGCTGGCCAGACTGTGCCCAGCCCTGCCCTGTGAGCCAGTGACCTTGGGTGAGTGACTTGGCCTCAGGAAGCTGAGTGGTTTTGTCTGCACAACAGCTGCAGTGATGGTGACAACAAAGGGACAGTATCACAAACCTCAGGTGGAGGTGTGAGAATCGTGAAGCAATGTCTACAAAACCCCTTCAGTGTGGTGAGTGCTCGCACAATGTGTGAGCAGGTGCGCACACACATACACACACACACACGCACCATAAGAAACTGAAATCTGGTATGCTTTTCATCTCCGTAAGAGACAATTTTCCATCTAGGTAAACAAATCAGCATTCAGCGTGCATATTCCTAACAGACCAAATTATGAATAAATGTCATTTCAATAGCAGCTTTTTCTATACCATTTACCAACATAGAAATAAACATTTCATTTAGCTTTAGAGTGCAATTCGAATTAACTTGACTAAAATCCACTGGGCTGCCTTCAGTGAGAGATGGAATATCTCTGCCATCTACAATGACAGCCGAGAAATCACTGGCATCACTACCATTAGCCCAATTCTCCCATCAAAACCCGTGACCCTAGCTAAGTAACTGACATTTGTCCAATGCTGGAAATGAACTAATAGTTTCCATCGACCATCAGAGAAATGAAAAAGGAACCAGAGCAAATCAGCACGCCCTGGCCAGGGCAGAGAAATCAGGGATGGCCGCCAGGCAGCGCGGGAGCACAGGTGCAGCTAACGGCCAAATTCCACCCGTGAGCACACACGCACGCTTCCAGGTCCACACCATGGGCCCAGACTGCCTCGGAGATCAAAGAATAAACTCAGGTATCTACGTTAGCTGCCTGGCCTTAGTGGGGCTCACACTCCGCCAAGAGTTTCCAGCTGCAAGGATGACCAGGCCCAGCCTGGGACCTGAGTGTCTGTGGAGGCAGAAGCAGGGCTGCTTTGCTGGCACAGGCCGAGAGCCGGGGAGGTGGGCAGGGAGGGGGCACAGCCCAGGAAGGCTGAGGGCCAGGGAGGTGGGCGGGGCGGGGGCACAGCCCAGGAAGGCTGAGGGCCAGGGAGGTGGGCAGGGCAGGGGCACAGCCCAGGAAGGCTGAGGGCCAGGGATGTGGGTAGGGCAGGAGCACCGACCAGGAAGACGTCGGGCCAGGGATGTGGGCAGGGCGGTAGCACAGTCCAGGAAGGCCGCACGGAAGAGGAGACAGGTAGGGCGGGGCCAGAGCTCAGGAAGGCCACGAACCGGGAGACGGGCAGGGCAGGGCTGGAGCCCAGGCTCATACCTGGCTCGGCCTCTCTCAGTGCAGACCATCTCCAAACCTCGGTTTTCTCATGCATAAAATTGGGTTATGAAAGCTACATTTCAGTATGATTGAGAAGATTAAAGGGAATATATGCAGAACATATAATGTGATACCTGGGTTCAATAAATGGTAGCAAGTCTTACTGCAAAATCTGAAATGACCCACTAAAACCTGACCTAACCTTTTCCCCCACAGACAGGTGCTGACGAAAGACAGGAGATGAGCTGGGAAGGTGGACAGTCACATGCAAAAGAAAAGAGGCAGAGAGGATGAATATTCCAAACTCCCTTCTCTCAAGGGATGTGCATTTGCCCCAATTCAAACCAACCTGTGGAGAGATGGGGCTGGTGGTTGCCCAGGGACCAGACCACTCGGCTTGATCTCAGCTGTGAAGGGATGGGGCTGGTGGTTGCCCAGGGACCAGACCACTTGGCTTGATCTCAGCTGTGAAGAGATGGGGCTGGTGGTTGCCCAGGGGCCAGACCACTGAGCTTGATCTCAGGTCTGTCACCATGGGTAATAGCTGACCTTTAACAAACAAACATCTTACAAAAATTTCCAAACATGCATAAAGATGGATGGATCAATACAGCGAAGCCGGAGCGCCCGTCACCACCCGGCTTCTGCTGCTGTCGACACACGGGCGATTCAGCTCATGCTCCCCAATTCTCCACCCGCTCTGTGTTTTTTGCTTGTTCGGTTGGTTGATTGGTTGGTTGGGGTTTTTTGGGTTTTTTTTTTTTTTTGAGATGGAGTCTTGCTCTGTTGCCAGGCTGGAGTGTAATGGCGCAATCTCGGCTCACTGCAACCTCCACCTCCCGGGTTCAAGCGATTCTCCTTCCTCAGCCTCCCAAGTAGCTGGGAATACAGGCATGCACCACCATGCCCAGCTAATTTTTGTATTTTTAGTAGAGATGGGGTTTCACCACATTGGCCAGGATGGTCTGGATCTCTTGACCTTGTGATCCGCCCACCTCGGCCTCCCAAAGTGCTGGGGTTACAGGCATGAGCCACTGTGCCTGGCCCGCTTTGTGTTGTTTTAAAGCAAATCCCGGGCATATTATCTCATTGGCAAACACCTCTGCTTGTTTAACCTAATCCTATCATCATCACTTTTTTTTTCTTTTTTTTGAGACAAAGTCTCGCTCTTGTCCCCCAGTCTGGAGTACAGTGGCACGATCTTGGCTCACTGCATCCTCCGCCTCCCGGGTTCAAGCGATTCTCCTGCCTCAGCCTCCCAAGTATCTGGGATTACAGGTGCGTAGCAACACACCCAGATAATTTTTTGTATTTTAAGTAGAGACGGGGTTTCACCATGCTGGCCAGGCTGGTCTCGAACTCCTGACCTCAGGTAATTTGCCCATCTCGGCCTCCCAAAGTGCTGGGATTACAGGTGTGAGCCACCGCGCCTGGCCTATCACATCTTAAATACCTAACAAGTGTCTTCATATTATCAAATGCCCCAATTATCTCATAAATATCTATGATTGTTGGCTTCTCTGAATCATAGCTGCCTTTTTCAAAGGGCAAAATCTGGGATACAAGAAGGTGTTCAGTCCAATTTTCAGGCAAAAGAGGCAGTGGCTTTGCATTGTCATCTGAGTTTTGCTACAAGCTCTAATCTGTCACCAAAATATCTGTCCCTCCAGTACTCAATAATGATGACATTTCTCTCCATTGGAGTCTCATCGGAGTTGGACAGTAATTGTCAGGAGGCCCCTGTTCCTTTGTCGTGGTTTTCCTTAAGGCTGACTCGTGTGGGTATCAATACTATTAATAGAATTCTCCATCCACAATATGAGGAGTTTCCAGTCCTAGAAAGGTTTCCTTTAGGTTCAAATCTTTTATCTCAAAATCTTAGGCTACAGTAGAAAAATTAACATCCAGAGATACCCTCCTGGCAACATGCAACCCTCAAACCAGCCCATCCTCTGTTGTCTGGGCGAAGACAAACCAAATGAGAAACACATTCTGCCCTCAGCCCCTGTCTGAAAAGCTTGGCTGGTGCAGCTCTGTCTTATTAAACGTCTTTCCCAGCTGTGATCTCCTTTCTTGACTCTTTTTAGAAAGGAAAAACAAATTCTCCCTAGACACACTGAAGGCTTAAGTCAAACTTCCCTCATTTCTTCTTGACCACTTTTTTATTCCCACCACATTTTATCTTCTCCCAGTCTGGCCGTTTGATATATGTGCATATCACAAGCTTGTCTATATCAATGTACGTTATGTCTGTATGAGTCATGGCCCATTGGAGGCAAATGCTAGGTCTGGAAACCAAAGTGTCTGCTGGAGTTTCATTTTCATGGCCATACAAACCCCAAGGCGTGGCCAAGGCTGAATCACATAGAACTGACAAAAAGCATCAATACACAGAGATTCTCAGCCTCCCACACTGGCCCCACCGCAGACGGCCTGGGCCCCACCTGCCCAGGGCCTCTCCAGCTGGAAGCCAGGCTGAGGTGCTTCCCTCAGTAAGATTCTTATCACCAGTTTATTAAAAGTTTATTCATAGTTAATACTCCAGACAGTTCTAATCTTATTGTCCAACATATAATTCTAGGAAGCATTTCATATTTTCAAAAAGGATGGGACTTAAAATGTACCCATTTAAAATGTAAATGAGCATAAAATATGTGCTCGTGATATTGAGTGAAACAGGCCAAGGTTATGCAACTTCTAGAAGGTGGCTCCCCCGGGCCTGCAGGGACAACAGGCCTGCTGGACAGTGGAGAAGGAAAGAAAAAAAGGGGGGAAAGTGTTTTCCCACCCTGCCCCCCCGACTCGTGAGCCTCCTAGCTGTCCCCTAGGGAAAGTGTGCTCACCAGCTCTCCTGCATTCACACCGAGTCCCCAAAAACTCTCCAGCAGAAGGACCTGCTCCCGCACCCCTTCCCTCCACCAGCAAGACATAGCAGGGAGCGGGGAGCCGCAGGCTGAGGGGACGAGGGACACAGGGTCTCAGGCGCCCAGCACCAAGAGCTAGCACCGTATGCCCCTGAGGCTGAGCGTTGGAGCCAGGCAGGACGAGGGCCGTCCCACCACAAACCCCCCCACCCCCGAGATGAGCCTGGGCTGGCAGCCGAGGAAGATCAACAGCTGCCCTCCAGTGCAGAACACCTGGCTTCAAAACCACGCTCATCATCTGCAGAATGAGATGAGACGCTCTCTGTCTCTCCTAGAGCAAAACAAAGACAGCAACAAAGAAAGGAAGGAAAGCAAATCACCTCCATGTAGATTTGTGTGTCCACTGCTCTTCCCCTCCCACACTGTTTTTACTCACGAACTTGGTTTTGCCTCAGAGAAGGGCTGTGACTTCAATAACTCCCGTCACCAAGGAGTTGCTCAGTGCTGGACATCTAGGGTCATCCCTGGAACCTAAGACTCAGGTCTCCCAGAGCCCACGCATCCCCCAGCTAACAAGCATGGTCACCAGACTCCTGCAGCAAACTGGCATGCGGGGCAGGGCCACCACCTCCACGAAGACACTGGTACCACGGCCTGCATATGTCAGGCCTCAGCAAACACCGTGGAATTATTTTGGTAGCGACATCATACACCCCTCACAGCTCAGGCCTTTGGAACCTTAAGTTAAAGTGGCTGCTTTTTTAATCAATCTCATGATATGGTTGCTGATTTTATTTCACAAATAAATATCTTTCCATTGCCTTACCTTTGAAAGATAAAATCTTATTCTATTCTAATTACATGACTATTATTTTAATGTGATTATTACAAAAAACCCAAAAAGCTCTAAAGCAAATAAAAGGTCATTCCTCCCCTCTGTGACTTCGCAGATGCCTCCAGGCCTTACTTTCAAATCGCCCTCTTCTCTGAGGTGCTTAAAAAAAAGAAAAACTGGTTTGAGACATAAGGGACTTCAGTCTACATCTATTTAAAGGTCTGACTGCAGATAATATTTCTTAAGTTCAACCCTCTAGGATGAGAACATGCATTTACCTCCAAGCTTTCACCTCGCTTGTTTTATGGGGCTTGATTAAATATAACATGTGACCCTGATATGGTTTGGTTCTGCGTCCTCACCACAATCCCATGCTCAGCTGTCACCCCCAGTGCTGGAGGTGGGGCCTGCTGGGAGGTGACGGGGCCATGGGGCGGTTTCTTGTGGTTTAATACCATCCCCTTGGCACTGTCGTCACGGTTGTGAGTTTCCGTGAGATCTGGCTGTTTGAAAGCGTGCGCCAACTCTCTCTCCTCCCCAACTCTCTCTCCTCCCCAACTCTCTCTCCTCCCCAACTCTCCCTCCTCCCCAACTCTCTCTCCTCCCCAACTCTCCCTCCTCCCCAACTCTCCCTCCTCCCCAACTCTCTCTCCTCCCCAACTCTCTCTCCTCCCCAACTCTCTCTCTCCTCCTGCTCCCCCTTCGCCTTCCCCCATGATTGAACATTTCCAGAGGCCTCCCCAGAAGCCAAGCAGAGGCCGGCAGCATGCTTCCTGCACAGCCTGTGGGACTGTGAGCCCATTAATCCTCTTTTCTTTATAAATTACCCAGTCTCAGAGATATATATATATATTTTGAGACGGAGTCTCGCTCTGTCGCCCAGGCTGGAGCGCAGTGGTGCCATCTCGGCTCACTGCAAGCTCCGCCTCCCGGGTTCACGCCATTCTCCTGCCTCAGCCTCCCGAGTAGCTGGGACGACAGGCGCCCGCCACCACACCAGGCTAATTTTTTTGTAGAGATGGGATTTCACCGTGTTAGCCAGGATGGTCTCGATCTCCTGACCTCGTGACCCACCCGCCTCGGCCTCCCAAAGTGCTGGGATTACAGGCGTGAGCCACCACGCCCGGCCCAGATGTTTCTTTATAGCAGTGTGAGAACAGACTAATACGGGTGCTTTAGAAACTCTGGTCTAATCTGTAGGGCTGAAGGAGGCCAGCTCCTAAAGATCTTGGGGTTGGGGGAAGCATTTTAGGGCAACCACTTGACATTAACAAGAGACCAGGTTTGGGCTCAATTAGCCTGAAAGATGATGCTACATCCCGTGAAAAAAGGGGAAATGGAGGAAAACAAAAATCAAGGAACTCGGTGTTTGCCAAATGCAGGCGTAGGCTTGGTAAATATAGCTTTTTCTGAATTAGGATTGAAACCAGCAGAGTTCCACTGAAGGGCTAAGGGATAGCAGAGAATCCACTCTAACCACAGCCTGCAAACCTGAGCTCGGGGATAGCAGGAGTCGACCCCAACCACAGCCTGCAAACCTGAGCTCGGGGATAGCGGAGAATCCACCCCAACCACAGCCTGCAAACCTGAGTTCGGGGATAGCAGAGAATCCACCCCAACCACAGCCTGCAAACCTGAGCTTGGGGATAGCGGAGAATCAGCCCCAACCACAGCCTGCAAACCTGAGCTCGGGGATAGCGGAGAATCCGCTCTAACCACAGCCTGCAAACCTGAGCTCGGGGATAGCAGGAATCGACCCCAACCACAGCCTGCAAACCTGAGTTCGGGGATAGCGGAGAATCTACCCCAACCACAGCCTGCAAACCTGAGTTCGGGGATAGCGGAGAATCCACCCCAACCACAGCCTGCAAACCTGAGCTCGGGGATAGCAGGAATCGACCCTAACCACAGCCTGCAAACCTGAGCTCGGGGATAGCAGGAATCGACCCTAACCACAGCCTGCAAACCTGAGCTCGGGGATAGCGGAGAATCCACTCTAACCACAGCCTGCAAACCTGAGCTCGGGGATAGCGGAGAATCCGCCCCAACCACAGCCTGCAAACCTGAGCTCGGGGATAGCAGGAATCGACTCTAACCACAGCCTGCAAACCTGAGCTCGGGGATAGCAGAGAATCGACCCTAATCACAGCCTGCAAACCTGAGTTCTCCCTTTCTGCTTCAAATGAAACGTGAGGACATGTCCCAAAAACACGTATGAATTTTTTTTTAATTTTCCAGGCACTGTCGCTGTTTCTTTCACAGAATTGAGATTTCCCCCAGTGTCACTGAGGATTCTTCTGAACATGATGACCTCGGCAACTGTATTTTACAGTCTGTGTTCTACAGACTGTATTTTACACAGTGCCTCACACGAAGCACTCCTCCACGGCGGAGTAATTAGTTGTCGCATGGTGAGGGTTGTTTCTGTTGTTGCTTTACTGCAGGGAGTCTCTTCATACACAAATGTCTGTGCTTATCTGATTATTTCCACAGGAGAAAGTCCTGGAGGCGGAATGGTTAGGGGAGAAGGTAAACCTTTGATCCTGCAGTTCTGCAGTACCTATAAACCCAGGCATTTCCCGGCTCCTCCATGGTGCTCCTCTGGCTACATTCCCCAGCTTGGAACATTCCACTTGGAACTTTGGTGAAGAAGCCTGGTGGATCGACGCCACCTTCCCTGAACCCACATTCCACCAGGGACCCCCATTACCCAATAATCCTACTGTCCTTTGACTCTCAGAAACCAATTTGTTGTCACTTTTCATGACCATTGGCCACAACCAAGGGCCTCTCAGGGTTCCCAATGATGGGAAACGACCTGGAAATGTAGGCACGTCGTGCCATGTCTCCAGGGTTCTGCAGGAGTTCCTAAGTGCTTTTTCTTGCTTCTGTTTGTTTAACTCTTTGCCTCAACATTAGCACAGGCTCTGGAGAAACTTTCCTTCTCTTCCACTGAGAACAAATCACTTCAACCTTCTGAGGTTTCTGTTTTTGCCAAAATCCTCAATTCACATCCTCCTAGATAAGAACCCTGCTTGGAAAATCCTCCTGGCATCGACTCAATGGCCTTGAAACGCCTTTTCCTTCTTCTGTTTGCCATGACAGCCAGGGGACACGGACAGCGTGGGCCACCAGAAAGCAGCCCTCTTTCCCAAGTGGGCACCCACTGAGTTTTGCACCAAGTCACACGCGATGTGAAGATACGGAAGGAGGAATCCAGCACGCCTTCAAGAAGACATCAGGGAAAGAAGCTTGGAGAGCTCGCTCTCCTCTCTAGACCCATCCAACCTGGCCTACGTGGGTGAATTTCCCCTTGACCTTGGGTTTGCTGCATCGGGAGGTCATCCTAAAGAACAGTAGACTTAGCGATTCTGCCAGAGGCTGCAGCTCACTCTCTATGTGAGCGGGAAAGAGGACACTAAAAGGTAAAATCAACAGAGAAAGGAGAAGACCCAGCAAGGGAACTAATTTAAAAGAAAACCATAAGAAGCACCAGATATTCCCAAAAGGACTTAGCATCATTGTCTTACACCCTCTTCCCAAGAAGCTTCAAAAACGGGCGTTCCGTCTTCACTGCTTGTCTTTGATTGTGTCACCTGACCCGAAAGAGCAAAGAAACATTTTCTACTTGATAAAACACCTGGTAAATATCAAAGGTTGGGGACACCAAAAGAAGAGTCATTTCCCTGGGGATTGGTTTTGTAAACTCCTGGTTCACATAAGGTCGTGGGAACTAAGATATGAGGTGATGGGCAGTAAGGGAGAGGGGCCGGCTGAGCAGCAAGGAAGACAGTGTGCGAACCTCATCGAGGGAACGCACGGTCCTCCTCGAGATTTGGAAAGGGAAATCTCAGCCCACCTATTTGCAGTTTCAATTTGAATAGCCCATGTATTCATATGTCAAAGGAAATGCAAGAAATTAAGAGCATCCCTGAAGAGATGTGGATCTCCCAACAGGAACATTATTTTTAGCCAGGTGCAGTGTTTCACACCTGTAACTTCAGCACTTTGGGAGGCCAAGGTGGGCGGATCACTTGAGGCCAGGAGTTCTAGACCAGCCTGGCTAACATGCTGAAACCCCATCTCTACTAAAAAAATAAAATAAAATAAAATTATTTTTAAATACTTTCTCATCAAGGGAAAACTTTCTTCCAAAACTATATCTAATAAGACGGGAGGAAGGGATGGAGGGAATCGGGGTTATGCATTTAGAATTCTCTGGTTCTGACCCAGTGACACAGGCCTCAGGCTACATCTCCACCAGCTCCTAAATTCCGTATCCATCTGTGTGAAACAGACTCTCTTGCCTGACAGGCTGCAGCGGCCGTGCCGACTCTCCAGCATCTCGAGCCATTTTCTAGGCAAACAGGCCTGTGACGTTCTTTTTTTTTTTTTTTTTTGGTTCAATCTCTTTCACCCTCTTGTCTGATATTTTCAAGGGTTTTTAATCACAACTCCAGTGGATTGATCAATGACAGATATGAGCAACAACTTTTGCATGCTAACAGTGCCGGAATTTTTATCTAAGATAATATTTCTCTCTTAAAAAGCCTCTGCACAGCTATGTATTAATTAAAATCTAAATACTAAATATTGATTGATGCGTTATCAGGCCACAGCAGTTGGGCCCTGCCACATTGATTTTTTGCTGTGATTTATTATCATATTTAAGAAAAATCATTTTGTGTGATTATACGAGGAAATGGACTCTAGCGAGGGTGTCATTCTTTTGTATCACTTTTGTTGTATGGAGGACGGACCAATCCCTCAATTGTGGCCGGGACTGCTGATACCCTTCAGCATCCGTCTCTGTGGCCTCCGCCGGCTAATGCTTTAAGCCTGCTTGGTCTTGTCATTAGGAATAATGGGCTTTAGGGTTGCCTCCTTAATCACAGCTGAGATTAACAGACGGATGAACTTAGGTTCTTAAAATTATCTAGTTATTACAAGTATTTCTGTTATCACATAATAACATTGCTGCAGAGGATTTTTTTCCTTTAATGACTCAAATTGAACCAAAACCCCAGAACAATGTCCAGGCTGGCCTAACATGGAGCCAGGAGTCAATCCATCTTTCATCTTAGTGCAGAAGTCATCACCGTCAAAGCAAGAATCTAGCTGTGAGGAAAAACAGAGAAACGCGTGTCTACATAAAACAGGCCAGCGCTCTATGCTAAGGACTATGCCTGAGTTGATGTGAGTCATTTATATGTGAACAACGTGCACCGTGAAGAGAAAGAAGATTTCTGATTACTTCAGATGCCGTCATTTACATCATTCCCTGAAGTAATAATGAGGGGAGAGACGCAAATCTGACTGTGTGAAAATATTTGCACTTATAAATGCTAGATCAGAGGACTAACAAATAGAATCACTCCTAAGCCGTTTTGCATTATTGAGTCTAAACATTCCTTATATTTTATTTTCTTCTCATTTCTTTTGTATGTTCATTGTGAGAGCATAAATTTACTACTTTTGTATTATGTGGAATATGCCAAAATCATTCATTGGTTTTCCCACTTACCATGTCTTTCTTACATGGCAATAAAAATAAAGAAAACAACTATATTGTCTTCAACTTTATATTTGGAGGGTTTTTTGTTTGTGTTTTGTTCTTTGTGAGGTCAATGATTCTTGAAGAAATGATGTGGAATTTCAGCAAGGAAGTCTCCCATGATCTTCAGTGAAGCTTGTCTCCCCCGTAGCCCTCTCTGGTGGTATGTAGGGAATTCGTGTTTGTAAGTGAACTGGCTTGTGCCTTATCACTGGCTACTGTTGCTTTTATCACAAAAGCCAGCATTTTTGCTCATTTGGTCAAGGAATTCAAAGATCAGGCCAGTTCGAGTTTTCTAAAGGGATCATCACCATAAACACTGAGGAACTTAAGAAAAATTGGATGAGCTTTAAGAGCACATTTTAAAGAAAAGAAATTAGACCACTCCATTATCATTAGATTAAAACAAATTTAAAATAGCTGTACTTTTTCTCTAATTTCCTAAAAGTTTAGCCATCTACTTTAAAAAGTAGAATCAAAGATGACCTTGGGAAGAGACTAAATTGGGAAAAATACATAAATACGTGAATCTTGTACCTGCAGCTTGATCCTTGTCATTACTGATCAGTTTTCGGAGCGGATTTACAGAAAAAGAGGGAGAAGAGGGGAAAGGAAGGGAGGAGGAGGAGAGAGGAGGAAGGAGGAGAAGGGGAGAGGAGGAGGGAGGTGGGGGAGGGAGGAGGAGAGAAGAGGAAAAGGGAGGAGGAGGAGGATGGTGAAAGATGAGGGAGGAGGGGGAGGGAGGAAGAGGGAAAGGGAGAGAGGAGGAAAAGGGAGGAAGAGGAGGGAGGAGGAGGAGGGAAGAGGGGGAGGGAGGAAGGAGGAGGGACGAGGGGAGGGAGGGCGAGGGAGGGAGGAGGAAAAGGGAGGAGGATGGAGGAAGAGGAAGGAGGAGGAGGGAGAAGGAGGAGAGAGGAAGAGGATGGAGGGAGGAGGAGGGAGGAGGAGGGGGAGGAAGGAGGAGGGAAGAAGAGGACAGAGGAAGGAGGAAGAGGGAAGAAGAGGATGGAGGAGGGAGGAGTAAGGAGGAGGGAGGAAGAGAATGGAGGAGGGAGGAGGAGAAGAGAGGAAGAGGATGGAGGAGGGAGGAAGAGAAGAGAGGAGGAGGAGGAGCTGCCATTTCTCACAGTCAGACAGTCCTGTGTGCCAGGGACATGGTAGCATGTGTTACCCCACAGCAGCAGTGGCCACCACAGCTCCTCCTGTGTGCGAGTGTGGAGGACACAGAAGTGAACAAGTGCCACCCCTGCCCTGAGGTTGCTGGGGCCTGGTGAGAAGCGACCACCTACCCCCCACCTGCGGACGCCGGGGGGCTGAGACACACACCTGCTGCTGGGACACAGGTAGCCACAGAGGCAGGGGCGCTTCTATAAAGAATGAACGCCTGAGCTGACAGTGGAGGGACAGGCGCGAAGGAGACGGTGGGCAGAGAAGGGAGCTGGCCAGGCAGGGCAGCCAGCAGCACGGTGCGGCCGCAATCACGCCGAGAGGGTTTCGTCAGTCAGAGGATTGTGCATTTTATGGATGTCCAAAAAATGAATTCTGAATCAGGGCTCCTATATCAGAATGAGAGCCTGAAGCTAAACTTGTGGAAATTATTTTATAGGAAAAACACTAAACTCAGTGCCACCTATAAAAACCCTGTCTCCTTCCCTTGCAGTATGAGGTTGAATTATGAAACAGAAAATAATAATAAATGGTTCCTCCACCACTCCTGTAATCTCCACGCACGCCGATGATGAAAAGACGACCGCGTGAAAGGGCAGATGGATGGGACCATTTCCTCTGTAACGGCTTTCAGTCTTTCTATTGTGCTTTTGCATCTCACTGAACAGCAACAGCAAAACCAGGCTAACCTCGCTGCTGCATAACTCCCAGCCCAGTGCAGCATCTTAAACATGCAGTGCTCTCGCCAGTCCTCACACTGAAAACACGTCCTGCTTTGCCTTATTCCTTACATTTAGGAAAATCCCGTTGTAGAACTTTCTAAAATTATGTCTGGTGGAAAACAGGCTCTGGTTTTGCCCTAAATTTTCTCACTTGGTATGGGATGGGGATGAGAACTGAGAATTCTGGATCTATTTCTTCTGCCGGAGATCAGTATTGTGATGATAAAACGCCGGTGCAGGTTGGAAGTCACACCTGAGGAGGAGCTGGGGTCTGCCGGCCTCGCTGGAAGAGAAGACAAAGGCCAGGGCTCAGGGCTCAGAAGAGCCGGGCTGAGAGAGAGGCAGCCACCATCCCGCACCAGCCTGGGTCTCCGAGCAATTGTCTGACATCCCAGAAGGAACCCTGACCTGGTCTTCGTTCTGCCCTGTGGGGCGTGTCTTGCTGCTGAGTGTCCTTGCAGCAGGCACCTGTAGTTTCTTATGGGAGGTACACCCTGAGCCCTAGCTGACCGTGGAGAAAGCAACGCAGGTGTGGGCCGGGGAAGTTAGCACAGAAATTCCATGTGATAGATCAGAACCATGACCCTTGCCATAGACGTCACTGTAATCGTTGAGCTCTTTAGGTCAACTTTGGCACAGCAGCACATCATGATTTATTCATCACGTTTATAAAATTAATACAATCACACTAAACCAGTACATTTAACCTCTCCCTGTTCTAAGATAGCTATGGAAAGAATTAGCTACATAAACATGTGTTTCCCTCCATGCACGCCCTGCCAGGGCCCCGCAGCATCCTGTTACACGTCCCACTGTCACGTGGACACGCGGCTCACTGCAGGATGAGACAGCGCTACACGGAACGGGAAACAGCAGGATTGACTTTAGTAACTCATGAAGAAGCAACAGCATCCTCACTGGGTGCCAGACCCCAACCAGGCACGGATTTCCCCTTCCTGTCTCCAGGTGAATCGGAAAAATGCTCTTGCTGCCCTGTTTTTCTCATGACGGGGTCTCTTTGCATCCTCCTTGCTGGCATTTCCCTCTCAGCGAGTGACTCTCACTGCTCAGCTCATAATCCAGTCTTTTGCTTTGTAGCTGAACACATTTGGGCAGCTCGATGGCTTTGTCCCATTCCCAGTTGAAATGGACTGAATGTCGTTGCCCCCCAAATTCCCATGTTGACATCATCACCCCCAAGGCGGTGATCTTAGCAGGTGGGGCCTTGGGGAGGTGACGAGGTCCCGAGATGGGAGCCCGTGTGGACGGGATTGATGCCCTTAGAAAAGAGGCCCCAGAGGAGCCCTCAGCCCCATCCTTCCACGCGAGGACACAACCCGGAAGAGTCCTCCCCGGAGCGGCACTGTGCCGGCCCCCGGTCTCGGACCTCCAGCCCCAGAGTGCTGGAGAATAAAGGCCCGTTGCTCATGAGCCACTCTGCCTATGCATTTTGTTACAACAGCCTCACCGGAGTCCAACACCAACATCCAGGTGAAACTGACGGAGAGACACAGACCCAGTCCTGAGCCTAAAGCAGCCCTGGCACCTTCAACTCTCATGGCACGATGGCTGTCAGGTGACCACCAGGTGCTCCGACATCCCCAGAACCCGGCAGGGCCAAGGACTGTCCTGGATGACCCCAAAGCCTGGGGCCCGGGGTGTGACTCCTGCAGCACCAGCCACAGGCGATCACACAATGGCACTCTCATAGTGGACATTATAGACACACCACAGCGCGTGGTTCTGAATGCAAACAATCTACACTACACGCCACACAATGGCACTCTCATAGTGGACATTATAGACACCACAGTGCGTGGTTCTGAATGCAAACAATCTACACTACACGCCACACAATGGCACTCTCATAGTGGACATTATAGACACACCACAGCACGTGGTTCTGAATGCAAACAACCTACACTACACGCCACACAATGGCACTCTCATAGTGGACATTATAGACACCACAGCACGTGGTTCTGAATGCAAACAATCTACACTACACGCCACACAATGGCACTCTCATAGTGGACATTATAGACACACCACAGTGCGTGGTTCTGAATGCAAACAACCTACACTACACGCGGTCCATGTGGTGTCTGTCGTCTTCTTCAGGACACAAGTGCTCTTCTTTGGCAAAAATCATTGAGCTTCTAAACTGCAGCCCAGTTCCACCCATCACATCGCACTGTCATATGTACAAACTGAGGTACTCTGTTCACCAGTGTAATTATGTGTGCAATATTCTTCCTTTTGGGGGGGTTGTACACTGAATGTGTCCCCCAAGAAAGATGTGCTCAAGTCCTAAACCTTAGCCTCTGAATGTGGCCTTATTTGGAAACAAGACCTTGGCAGATGTAATCAAATTAAGATGAGGCCGTGAAAGTGGCCTGCTCCCATGGGACTCGGTGTCTTTATAAGAAGAGGACACAGACGCCCAGGGAAGGCGGCCATATGGGGATAGAAGCAAGGCCTGGGGTGACACGTCTGCAGCTGAGGGGCACCAAGATTGCCGGCCTCTGCCAGAAGCTGGAGAGGGCCCTGGAGCAGACTCCCCTGAGCCTTCAGGAGAGCACGGCCCTGCTCACACCCTGGTTTTGACTTCTGGCCCTAAGAACTGGTTTTAAGCCACCCAAGTGTGTACGCTTTCTACACAGCAGGTGCTGGTAAAAGACTTCGGACAACCGGTGTGAGGCATCACCTGGGGAATGCAGGCCTCCCTCGTTCCCACAAGGGCCTCTGCCCACTCTGAAAGCTCAGCTCCAAAGCTGTGGTTTTCCAAGGCCATCACCCTCATCATTATCAACAACACACAGAGGATGTGGCACGCTGTGTGGCCGAGAGCGGATCGGCAAATCTCGCCAAAACGTGTCTTCGCCCATTAAGTAACAGAGCTGCTCCAGGGGTCCCTGAAGTGCCCTGCACTGTTCACAGCACCTTAAAGGCTGCTAAGTCAATGGTCAATTTTGAACTCGGTCTGAGAGTCCAAATTATTTCCCAGCTTTCACCAACAAGTCACGATTCTAGAGAATACCACGCACAATGAAGACTAATCAGTTAATGTTTGAATGAATTCGGCCTGAGCAAACGCAGGGTCTGCAGCCCCCTAGCTGAAGAGAGCCATTGGATAATATGACTCCGTTGCTCAATCTTTTATTGCTTGTCTTAGATAGACATCAAATCTGGGAAAGTCTATTAGAATCGCACTCTAAAAAGTCAAATATTTCTCACATTTGCTGTATTTTAAACATCAGCTGCAAAATAGAGATAAAACTGCACAATTATCTTGACTTTCCAAAGACATGTATGGGCAAGCTCCTAATCCCAACAAAAGGTCCTGGTGCCTCCAGGGTGGCCGAGGCCGACAGAGACAGGGATTCTGGTGAGAACAGCCTCCGCAAGTGGCTTTCGTCCCTTCTCTTGGTTCCTCTTGGGCAAGGAAGCTGGGTGATTTATCTGACCCCTTCTGTCCAACTGTATCTCCGGTGCCCACACCCAGTGGGCTCCAGCCATATCTCCAAAGCCACCCTGATGCTGAAAACTCTCCTCAACTTCCCTGTTCATTATCCTCAGCTCCATGCAGACTTCATATACCACCTGCATGGGTCTGTTTTCACACTGCTATGAAGAAATACCCAAGACTGTGTAATTTATGAGGTTTAACCAACTCGCAGTTCCACATGGCTGGGGAGGCCTCAATTATGGTGGAAGGGGACGCAAACACGTCCTTCTTCACATGCCGGCAGCAAGGAGAAGTGCAGAGTGAATGGGGGGATGCCCCTTATAAAACCATCAGATCTCATGAGAACTCACTCACTATCACGAGAACACCATAAGGATAACCACCCCCATGATTCAGTGACCTCCCACCGGGCCCCTCCCATGGCACGTGGGGATTATGGGAGCTACAACTCAAGACGAGATTTGGGTGGGGACACAGCCAAACCATGTCACTACCTGAAATCAAAATAAAGATCATCCATTTTTATGGATGGTTTCAGTGTGCCCAGATTCCATGATCAATTTTTCCGCTGTATGTAAGTAGCATGATGTCACCGACACCCTGTGGATGTGGCCGCTATGAGCAAACTGCCTGGACACCCTCAGATATCCAGGCACAGTGGCTCACGCCTGTCATCCCAATACTTTGGGAAGCTGAGGCAGGAGAGTTGTTGAGTCCAGCAGTCTGGGCAACATAAGGAGACCCTGTCTCTACAAAAGAATTTCAAAAATTAGCTGGACGTGGTGGTGCATGACTGTAGTCCCAGCTTCTCAGGTGGCTGAGGTGGGAGGATCATTTGAGCCCAGGAGGTTGAGGCTGCGGTGAGCTGAGTTCACACCACTGCATTCCAGCCTGGGCTACAGAGTGAGATCTTGTCTCAAAAATAAAAATTAAAAAAACTCTAAGATCAGTGTGGACAGACGAATGCAACACTAGCTTTCTCACGTGCCAAAGGCTCCGTGTGCAAACCTTGCCATCGCCTGCCACCAGGGAGGCCTGTGTTTTAGCACTCAGCTGCTAAAGAACATCTGAATGTTTGTAACATCCACTGCATTTGCCCATAGGGACAATCACGTAACAGGTTCCAGCCACACCAGGCGGCCCACTCTGTCATCTGTGGCCGGATGTAGAATTCTCCGGGGTGTCCAACAATTAGAAGTCGCTGAAAGGCAGCCTGAGCGTCCATGGACCTGGTCTTCATTTCCAGAACCCTCGTGCCTGCCTCCGTTTGCCTCCAAATGCAGTCGGTTCTCAACCTGAAAGAAGGAAGCTCTGCTTCCCCAGGTCCACTGTGATGCTGCCCAGACCAGAAGCCAGTGGAGACACCTCTGCTTGCCGGTACTCAGCCCCGCACGGCAGGGCCTCCCGAGGCCTGTCACTAAAAAGCTAGGGGCCGGGGAGTACTGGGGCACTGCTCCATCTTGTTGGGGGCCAGCAGAGAACAGGCAGCAGCATCTGGCCCTGGATCTGTCGGGGGTTCACGCCCACTGAGAGGAGCCTGGTCCACAGGAGGGAGGCCAGGAGCAGAGCACCCAGCACTCGGACAGCGCTGCCCAAGCATCCTTGAAGGCCAGTGTTCTAGAAGAACAAGGCTGCCTCATGAATAATGAAAAGCTGATAAAAGCAGAAGATAACAAGATAACGGCTAGCATGAGAAAAAGTTATCACCTGGCTGGGTGCGGTGGCTCACGCCTGTAATCCCAGCACTTTGGGAAGCTGAGATGGATGGATCATCTGAGGTCAGGAGTTCAAGACCAGCCTAGCCAACATGGTGAAACCCCATCTCTACTAAAAATACAAAAATTAGCCTGGCTTGGTGGCGGGCACCTGTAATCCCAGCTACTTGGGAGGCTGAGGCAGGAGAATCGCTTGAACCCAGAAGGTGGAGGTTGCGGTGAGCCGAGATCACACCACTGCACTCCAGCCTGGGCGACAGAGAGAGACTCTCTCAAAAAAAAAAAAAAAATCACCTGTAGTACGTTCAAATAACTCAACTCATAAAAACCAAACAGGATCCGCGTGAGCCCAGCAGAGAAGCAACTCGACAACCACACTTGCTGCTGCCTGGTTACTGCCAGTGGCTGTGCCCTTCGGGAGAAGCAGATCCGGTCCTCGCCTTCCTCTCTGTCTGCCGTGCCTGTCACAGTCCTGCCCGAGGCTCTTTCTCACTGTACCAAGCTGCAGTTTCCAAATAAATGATTACACCACCGTTGGCTCGCAGTGGCGGAGTGGCAGGGTGGATAAGCAGTGCGTGGGGCTTCACGATCACTCTAAGTCTTCATCAGACACGGTTCCAGTGGCTGCACTCCTTTATCTTAAGCATGTCATTCCTAATTTCCCACCGCGGATCCTTCCACAGCATTTCATATTGTTCTCACTTGCAGGACACAGGCCCACACAGCACAGAGGACCTTGGCTGAATAAGAAAGGTGCCCCAGAGTTCTTGCAGCCAGGTAGTAATCGCTAACACATAAATCTTGACTTTTTGCATTAAAATTAAAAACTCTTTTTTTTTTTTTTTTTTTTTTTTTCAGACAGAGTCTAACTCTGTCGCCCAGGCTAGAATGCAGTGGTGCGATCTCGGCTCACTGCAACCTCTGCCTCCCAGGTTCAAGTGATTCTCCTGCCTCAGCCTCCCGAGTAGCTGGGATTACAGGTGCCCGCCACCACACCCAGCTAACTTTTGTATTTTTAGTAGAGACGGGGTTTCTCCATGTTGGTCAGGCTGATCTCAAACTCCTGACCTCAAGTGATCTGCCCACCTCGGCCTCCCAAAGTGCTGGGATTACAGGCATGAGCCACCGTGCCTGGCCAAAATAAAAAACTCTTTACTATTGTGAAATAAGATGAGACCAAACAGTTGATGTCGAAACTGTAGTAATAATTAAAAGTCACAACTAGTTATTCTATCCATATTCCAGAGTTTATATCCAGGGAGATAATACTACATACGTAAGCTTTTTAAGCTTGCAAGGAAAAGAAAAAGTTTGAAATTAAAATGTGTTTTTATTTATTTATTTTTAAGACAGAGTCTTCCTGTGCCGCCCAGGCTGGACTGCAGTGGTGCAGTCATAGCTCACTGCAGCCTCCAACTCCTGGGCTTAAGCGATCCTCCCACCTCAGCCTCCCAAATGCCTGGGACGACAGGTGTGTGTCATCACACCCACCACTTTTATTTTTATTGTTTTTTGTAGAAGCAGAGTCTTACTACATTGTCCAAGCTGGTCTCAGACTCCTGGCCGCAAGCAATCCTCCCACCTCAGCCTTCCAAACTGCTGGGGTTATAGGCATGAGCCACCACACCCGGCTGAATAGATGTTTTTAAAAAACATAATTGCTTGCTGCTTCCGGGGATTTTTTTACCAAATGGGCATTTTCTCCCAAAATTTCTGCTAGCTCCACCAGGCAGGGGAGCAGCCTGTGGTTTCTGTCTCTCGGGGTTCCCAGCAGCCACACCGCACACATGATGGGGACTGTCCTTGCAGCGCGACACACACAGCCTGTCCCACAGCGTACACCTATATCCCTCCACAGGCCACTTCTGCAGGCCAGGAGAGCCTCGTTGTGCCCACCACACATTACCAGGGGCAGCCAGGCGTGCCGGGAGGCACTGACGGAAAGCAAGGCACTCCCGTGCATAAACCATATCCTGCTCTCAGCATTTCAACACACCATCTCCCCCAGAGAAGTACACCACAGGGAAGAGAAAAAAGAAAACTTAGCCCGAGACCCGTTAGTTCTCAGGGAATTTATGACGTGAAACCCTCACGCCTCCCTTCCTGCCCAGGCGGCCTGTATTTCCGTGCGGCCTGTCCTCCTGGAATCATTCGGAGACCATGCCTTCGCCCAGAGCCACCTCACTGAGGTCTAGACGTTCCCTGGACGGCAAGCTCGCGGGACACGCTCATGGAAAAGGCAGGAGTGGTGAGTGCTGGATGGTTCTATAATGAGAATTCAACGTGCATTTCGATTTTAGGCAAATCCAGAAAGTGAGCTCCCGGAAGAGTCCCCTAAGGCCGGTCTAGATGAGGCTGGGCCACTCGAGGGCTGAGGCTGTTCCCTCGCTCGCTCGAAAACACAGCAACGCATCACAGAGCCTTTAACGTTTAATGCTGAAATTACACCTAAAGACAGTTGATTAATGACAACATCCTAAAAATACTAAGTAGAGCCTTAGATGAGAGAAGAGAGTAAGAGAAAAGTAGCAGAAAAGCTCTGTCAAAGATACAAGTCCAGCAGCAAAGGCAGAGGCCAGAAAACCCGCTGGCTGATTTTCAACACAAATGCATTTGAGATGTGGTGAATTTCAACACATCTCAACGTGATAGTATGTTAATTCTCTTTGAAATTGATGCATTGTGACAAAATAATAGCAACTAAATTATCTCTCTGCCTTGATATGACCAACATATGTGTTTTACGTGGAGTAAGAGTAGCTAACATGTCTGTGTTTATAGTCTTTGTAAAACCCAATGCCACGTGACTAGGAGGAAAAGAATTCTAACTAATTCCAATACGAATTTAATAACAGTTCTCAGCAAGGAGCTGGAATTTGGAATCGTGTTCAGATGGCCCTGGCAGCACGTAGGTGCACTGGGCACAGCTAACAGGTAACGATGAGAACGAGATTTACCTGGAAGGGCCCAGCACAGGCCCAGTAATTAGTGAGCTCTCCAGTTATTTTTAAATTACCCAAATATGCCATTTTTTTGGATAGCCTTGTTTTTTTTGTTTTTGTTTTTGTTTTTGTTTTTGAGATGGAGTCTCACTCTGTCGCCCAGGCTGGAGAACAGTGACGCAATCTGGGCTCACTGCAAGCTCCGCCTCCCAGGTTCACACCATTCTCCTGCCTCAGCCTCCCGAGTAGCTGGGACTACAGGTGCCCGCCACCATGCCAGGCTAATTTTTTGTATTTTTAGTACAGACGGGGTTTCATCGTGTTAGCCAGGACAGTCTGGATCTCCTGACCTCGTGATCCGCCGGCCTCAGCCTCCCAAAGTGCTGGGATTACAGGCGTGAGCTGCCGCACCTGGCCAGCCTTGTTCTTAATTAAACACAAAAATGCAAAGAGCATCCAAAAAGCATGTTTTTATATTACATAATTTACATAATATGTATGTTATAAATTCTATATTTAAGTTTTTCAGCTAACTGATTTACAAACATGAAACCACAGTATAAGCAAAATCAATCAATTAATAAAGTACAAAATTCAAGCAAAATAAATTTGCCGTTTTTACTTTTCAGATAAATATGAGATGTGTGCCTCGATCATAAAAACAGCTGTATCATATTTCAATTTTCCTTTACACATGTAGGCATGATCTAACTTTTTGAAAATATATTACATAGCATTGCTCTGGAAAGTGAGGATTGGGATAAGGGTCTGTTGGGGTATAAGTCAATTTACAATTCTTCATTCCTCTGCCTCATCTACCAACTTCTCATATGTAAAAATCTAATTACTTGCTGATATGGTTTGGCTCTGTGTTCCCCACTCAAAACTCATCTCCAATTGTAATCCCCATAATCCCCACGTTAGGGGAGGGGCCACGTGGGAGGTGATTGGATCATGGGGAGGTTTAGGGAGGGGCCACATGGGAGACGATTGGATCATGGGGAGGCTTAGGGAGGGCCACATGGGACGTGATTGGATCACGGGGAGGTTTAGGGAGGGGCCACATGGGAGGTGATTGGATCATGAGGAGGTTTAGGGAGGGGACACGTGGGAGGCGATTGGATCACGGGGCGGCTTAGGGAGGGGCCACATGGGAAGTGATTTGATCAGGGGGAGGTTTAGGGAGGGGACACGTGGGAGGCGGTTGGATCACCGGGAGGCTTGGGGGGGCCACATGGGAGGTGATTGGATCACGGGGAGGTTTAGGGAGGGGCCACGTGGGAGGTGATTGGATCATGGGGAGGTTTAGGGAGGGGACACGTGGGAGGCGATTGGATCACAGGGAAGTTTAGGGAGGGGCCACGTGGGAGGTGATTGGATCACGGGGAGGTTTCCTCCATGCTGTTCTCCTGATAATGAGTGAGTTCTCTGGAGATCTGATGGTTTTATCAGGCAGTTTTTCCTGCTCTTGCTCGTGCCCTCTCACCTACCACCATGTAAGACGTGCCTCTTCCCCTTTCACCATGACTGTAAGTTTCCTGAGGCCTTCCTAGCCATTCGGACTGTGAGTCAATTAAACTTCTTTCCTTTCTAAATTACCTAGTCTCAAGTATTTATTTATAGCAGTGTGAAAATGGACTAATACACTTGCCTTTCAAAGGTGCAAAGATTAAAGAAATCAAAATCAAGAAGTGAATTACAAGGGCCTAAACCCTGCAGAAAATATTAGTCAATGAAATTTGCTTTTCATAAAAACATGCCAAATTGGCCCTTTTTAAAAAGTATCAGTGCCATTAAAAAGCAGCCAGACCAACTAAAAAGAGATGCTGGTAAGTTAGAGCTACGTGTTTGTCAAAAAGACCATGTGCCAATTTTAGTTTATTGTCATTTCATTTTCACCCATTCTTGCCTTTTGTTTTTAGTTTTTCGAGTCTTCTCCTGCCCCACCCATACCCAAATGAGTATTTATATTTGTTTGTTTGGTGTATTTCTGCAAGCATGAATGACCAGCTGCTTTGGACGTGTGATTCTGAATTCACCCCACCCCACTGCCTTAGTTCCGTGAGTGTGGCCTTCGCTGAAGTTTACTGTTTCCTGCATGCCACTTAATCACTAATGACCATGGGGACTTATTTCAAATGCTGAGGGAGTTAGCCCCCACAGCTTAAAGTGCTTTTGTCTGTAATATTAAATGAAAATGTTGTACATTGAACTAAGAACACAATAGCTCAGAAAAAGTTTAAACAACCTGGATCTTACTTTTCAACCAGGAAAATGAATTTCAGGTTGAAATATAGATGGGAAAACATATAGCTTACTCTGACAATAAAATGACATGGTTTCACACTATCGAGTCTTAATTTTTATTCATCGTAACTCCACTTAATTTGGAACTAAAAACACTGCTAGAAAATAGTATTTGTATATCACATGATAGGAAAGGGAAAAGTTGACTCAATAAAGGTCTATCAATAGGTGTACACTGCTTATTAACTAGTCAAAATTTTTTTCAGACATCAGTGGTCTACAGAGATAGCCTATAAAACATCCTAATTGCATACATTTTATTTCTTGCAAGCATATAGAGAGCACATTCCTCCTTTGATATTATTCAATGAGTCATGCTGGAGCTGTAGAAGAATTTCAACTGATGTTTTACAGAAATGATACAAACTGCAACGTTTTAACAGTGTTCACATATGATAGAAATTATTAAATTGATAATATCTAATTTTCCATAACACCTCGCGTTTTCTCCTCCAGGCCAACAAACTGCAGAAACAATGGTCAGTAAAACAACTAAGAGAGGTCCTGAACTTCTTCCCTCAGACAATGACAGAGGTTTATGCAGCCACATCCCACAGACGTTGTGGGTTCAGCTCCACCACAATAAAGTGAACATCACAATAAAGTACGTCCCACTAGTTTTTTGGTTTCCAGTGCATATAAAAGTGATGTTCATGGTACATTGAGTCCATTAAGTGTGCAACAGCATTGTGTCTAAAAAAAAGTGCATACATTAATTTTAAAACAAATACTTTATTGCTAAAAAAAAAAACAAAATTCTAAGGATCCTCTGAGCCGTCAGTGGATTATTAAAACAAATACTTTATTGCTAAAAAAAAAAAAAAAAATGCTAAGGATCCTCTGAGCCATCAGTGGATCGTCATCTTCTCCCTGGTGGGTCTTGCCTCGATGTTCACAGCTGCTGACTGATGGGCGTGGCTGTTATTGAAGGTTGGGGTGGTCTTGATGATTTCTTAAAATAAGACAACAGTGAAGTTTGCCCCATCAATCAATGGGGCCCTTCCTTTTGTGAAAGGTTTCTCTGTAGCATGCAACGCTGTTCGATAGCATTTTACCCACAGTAGAACTTCCTTTAAAATTGGAGTCCGTCTCTCAGATCCTGCCACGGCTTTATCAACTAAGTTGACGTAACATTCTGAATCCTTTGTTGCCATTTCCACGACGTTCGCAGCATCTTCTCCAGGAGCGGATTCCATTTCAAGAAACTACTTTCTTTGCTCATCCGTAAGAAGCAACTCCTCATCTGTATGAGTTTCATCCTGAAGTTGCCGCAGTTCAGTCATCTTCAGGCTCCACTCCTAATTCTCTCGCTATTTCCACCACACCTGCAGCTCCTTCCTCCGCTGAGGTCTTGAACCCATGGGCATTGGAATCAACATCCTCCAAACTCCTGTTCATGTTGATATTTTGACCTCCTCCCATGAATCCCGGATGTTCTTAATGGCATCAAGAATGGGGAAGCCTTTCCAGAGGTTTTCAATTTACTTTTCCTTATATCCATCAGAGGAATCACTGTCCAGAGCAACTCTAGCCTTCCAAAGAATATTTCTTAAATAAGACTTGAAAGTCTTATTACTCCTTGTAATTTAGACTGCTGACTGCAGGCTGTGTTAGCAGGCATGGAAACAGCATTCATCTCTTTGTGTGTCTCTGTCAGAGCTCTTGGGTGACCAGGTGCATTGTCAATGAGCAGGAATATTTTGAAAAGAATCTTTTTTTCTGAGCAATAGCAGTAGGTCTTAAGTGCGGGCTTAAAATATTCAGTAAACCATGTTGTAAACAGACGTGCTGTCATCCAGACTTTGTTGTTGCATTTCTAGAGCACAGGCAGAGGAGATTTAGCATCATTCTTAAGGGCCCTAGGATTTTCAAAATAGCAAATGAGCACTGGCTTCAACTTAAAGTCACCAGCTGCATTATCCCTGAACAAGAGAGTCAGCCCGTCCTTTGAAGCTTTGAAGCCAGACATTGACTGCTTACTAGCTAGGAAAGTCCTAGATGGCATCTTCTTCCAATAGAAAGCTCTTGGTCTACATTGAAAATCTGTTGTTTAGTGTGGCCACCTTCGTCGATGGTCTCAGTCAGATCTCCTGGGGAACTTGCTGCAGCTTCTCCATCAGCATTTGCTGCTTCACCTTGCACTTTTTATGTTACGGAGATGGCTTCTTCCCCTAAACCTCATGAACCAACCTCTGCTGGTTTCTAGCTTTTCTTCTGCAGCTTCCTCACCTCTCTCGGCCTTCACAGAATTGAAGAGAGTTAGGGCCTTGCTCTGGATTAGGCTTTGTTTGAAGGGAATATTGTGACTGGTTTGATCTTCTGTCCAGACTGCTCAGACTTTCTCCTTCTCAGCAGTAGGACTGTGTGCTTTCTTGTGGTTCACTGGAGTCTCAATTTCAGTTTCCTTCACGAACTTGTCCTTGGCATCCACAACTCGACTAACTGTTCGGTGCAAGAGGCCTCGCTCTTGGCCTATGCCAGCTTTTCATATGCCTTCCTCACTAAGCTTAATCATTGCTAGCTTTTGGGCTAAAGTGAAAGACCTGCAATTCTTCCTTTCCCTCGAATACTTGGAGGCCATTGTAGGGTTACGAATTGGCCTAATTTCAATGTTCTTATGTCTCCGAAAATAGAGAGGCCCAAGGAGAGGGAGAGGGATGGAGGAAGGGCTGGCTGGTGGAGCAGTCAGAACACATCCAGCATTTATCCAGCAAGTTTGCTGTCTCATGCGGGCACAGTTTGTGGTGCCCCACAAACTATTTACTATTTACAATAGTAAATAACATCACAGATCCCTGATCACAGATCACCATATATCATAAGTAATGAAAATGTTTGGAATATTGGGAGAATTACCAAAATGTGACACAGAGACACAGAGTGAGCACATGCTGTTGGAAAAATGACACCCATAGATTTGTTTGATTCAAGGTTGCCCCAAACCTTGATGCTACTCAATGTTACAAGGATTTTTTAAAATTTCAGTTTAATATAATTTGGGTGAATTATATGGAAGAAAATTGATAGTTTAAATTGATATTCTTCTACATGCAACATTGAGTAACCTGATTCTAGTATTTAGACAGCGGGTACTTTTATATCAAATAATATTAGGAATGTACTTTCTCTTTTCCTCCCAAATGTTTGATTATTCATAAGTTAAAGGCAATCCGGGTACACTTGAGTTCCTTTAATAGTTGTTCCTGAAGTGTGTGGGATGAATGTTTGTAAATTAAATCAGGTTTTTCCATTGAGCAGCTTTATTACAACTTCGGAAATATTTATCTTATTTGATTCTTGATCTTCAAGATTCCCACACACCTTCACATTTCCCCACACACATTCACACACTCACACACACTCATGCTCACACACACACGCTCACACACTCTCACTCATATGTACTCACACACGCCCACACTCACACATCGACACACACTTATATACACTCACACGTGTATGCTCACACACTCTCATATACACTCACACACATGCCCACACTGACACATTCACACACACATGTTCACACACGTACTCACACACGCATGCTCACATACATACTCTCACTCATATACACACACATGCTCACACACACTCACACGTACACACACATGCTAACACATGCTCACATACACGCATATGCTGTCACACATACTCACACATACACTCAAACGCTCACACTCATACACTCACGTGCATATGCTCACACATGCTCACACACACGCTCACACATACATGCTCACACACAATCTCATACACACATGCTCACACACATGCTCATACACATATACACGTGGTCACATACAATCATGCTCACATGCTCACTCACACATGCCCACACACCCATACACACACATGCTCACACTCACACATTCAGATATATTTACACACACACAAATACACACAGGCTCATATTCACAATCATACACCCACACACGTGCTCACACCCACATAGTCAAACATGCTCACACATATACTCTCACACTCATCTCACACACATACTCATACACTCACACATGCTCACACTCACACTAACAAACTCACATATACTCACATGCATTCATACTCAAATACACTCATATACACATTCACATTCACACACATGCACTGACACTGACACACACATATTCACATACATATACTCACAGTCACACAAACATGCTCACACACCTGCTCACACTCATACTAATACACACATGCTCACACACATGCTCACACTCATTCACTTATATATTCACACACACAATCATACACACACATGCTCAGACACATTCATATGCTCACACACGTTCACATACATGCTCACACATTCACACGCATGCTCACACATGCTCACGCACCCACTCTCGCATACACGCATGCTCACACACTCATATTCACAGATACACATGTGCACTCTCATACACTCACACAATGCTCACACACATACACGTTCACATCACACACACATATACTCACACACATATATACTCATACTCAAACACACACATGCTCACACTCATATTTTTCACATATCCCCGCTCACATACATGCTCACACACATTCACTTATATATTCACACTCACAAATACACACATTGACACACAATTATACACCCACACGCATGCTCACACACATATACTCAAACACATGCTCACACACATTTACATACACACATGCTCACACATATACATGCTTTCACTCACACTCATGCATGCTCATACACACTCATACACTCACATCCTGACACACACATATACTCACAAATGCTCACACTCATACACTCACATGCTAACACTCACAGTAACATACACTCACACATTAACACGTACTCACACTCAGACTCATATACTCACACAGATATACAGACTCACAATGCTCACACACACACTCACATACACACATATGCTCACACAGACATACTCACACTCATATACTCACACATTCACATATATGCTCACATTCACACACATACTCACACATATGCTCACACACATGCTCACACTCACAGTCACGTATCCTCTCACATGCTCACACACATTCACTTATACTCATACACACATGCTCACACTCACACACTCACACTCTGTTGTGTTAATTAGGCTTCTTAGTCTGCTTTCTGCTGCTATAACAGACCAGACAGATTGGGTAATTTATACGGAAAAGAAGCTCCTTTGGCTCATGGTTCTGGAGGCTGGGAAGTCCAAGAGGCCGCGTGGCACCTGGTGAGGATCATCCCATGGTGGGCAGCATTGCATGGTGAGAGCACACGACCCAGAGAGAAAACGGGGGCCAAACTTATCCTGTATCCAGAGCCCACGCCCACAGTCACTAGACCTCTCCCTATAATGGCGTTAATCCATTCACGACGGAGGAGTCCTCACTGCCTAATCACCTCTGAAAGGGTCCACCTTTTAATACTGTTACAATTAAGTTTTCAACACATGAACTTGGGGACACGTTGAAACCACAGTATTAGGCAATGATTTGTCATCTGTCACTATAGTTCAATCATTTCATCAAGCAGTTTCCTTTTGAAATATAATCACTCCCTTAATAATCGCTTCTATGAGTCTTATATTTAGTTCTTGGAACAACAAAATGCTGAGTTGAATCACCATTATACTGCAACATTAAAATGAGTTTCAGAGAAAACACAAAGTTCTATTTAGACTTTAATGACAAAGAGATAATGTCCTTTAACAAAGGTTTTGCTGTTATTATTCTTGCCATGATAGTTTTAAGTCTGTTCCTTGAAACTAATTTTTCAAATGAGTGCACATTTTCTAAAAGCATTATAATTTTTAATAACTTGAAAAGTCTGTGACCATCATAACAAAAATCGATTTTAAGAATTCACGGTTTGGGCTTAGGTGCATGTGTGTTCATTCCAGATCACCACAGACTGGAAGTGCCTGTTAGCTTTCCTCTCATTGCTGTTTTTCATTTACAAAAATGTTTAAGTCATCTACAAAAACAGAGCATTTGGTACTTTTGCCTTCAAAAACACACATATATTCTGGGACTGGTGAAAACATTAATGTTTGATCAAATATGTAATTAAAGAGGTAACTGTAAAAACGGTTATATAATTCTAGAACTAAGAAATACATTCTTACACAGAGAGGCTTGATCAAATTCTTATAAAGGGGAAAGCTCATTGAAGTCAAGTTGATGGTAGGGTAAAAAGTTTAAAAGTTTTTTTTAATTTAAAAAAAAGGTGGGGGAGCTTAGTTTAAATGAAGGCTCCACCACCCCTTTCACTGGAGGACGGTCACTTCCCAGGACCCATAGTCCACACCAGCCACAGGAGTGGCTCCTGGGGAGCAAAAAAAAGGGAAAGGCCTGCCCTGTCCAGAGCCCGCAAGTCAGCGCCCACATCCTGACATGGCCGACCTGCAGGCTGCACCAGCGCCGCCTTCTCCGGAGCCGTCGGTGGGACCCAGGCTGCCCCTCCACCCGGCCTGCACCAGCACTGCCTTCTCTGGGAGCCGTCGGTGGCACCCAGGCTGCCCCTCCACCCGGCCTGCACCAGCGCCGCCTTCTCCGGAGCCGTCGGTGGCACCCAGGCTGCCCCTCCACCCGGCCTGCACCAGCGCCGCCTTCTCCGGAGCCGTCGGTGGGATCCAGGCTGCCCCTCCACCCAGCCTGCACCAGCGCCGCCTTCTCCGGAGCCGTCGGTGGGATCCAGGCTGCCCCTCCACCCGGCCTGCACCAGCACTGCCTTCTCCGGAGCCGTCGGTGGGACCCAGGCTGCCCCCCCACCCGGCCTGCACCAGCGCCGCCTTCTCTGGGAGCCATCGGTGGCACCCAGGCGGCCCCTCCACCTGGCTCCAGGCTCAGCTCCTCCACTCCCAGATTCCGAGGCCAGGTCCCGTCCCTCTGCTCCCGCCCACCCCCTGCCTGGGACCAACCCGCTCCCTCTCCTCTCGCACTCCCACGACCTCTCAGATCCAGCTGTCCCTAGCCGAGTCTCCGCCGCTCACTGGCCCAACCCCGACTGAGGCCCTCCAGTGTCCCCTCCACGTGACCTCCCGTGTTCCGTTCTCCCACGTGGCGCAGATCAAAAGCTCCGGGCCAGCCTTCATCCCCCTGCCCTCCCACCATGCTGCAGACACACCCCCGCACTGTCTGCTTCTCAAACCGTCTGAAAGCCACACAGCTGAAGGGTTTCTCTCCACTCGAAGGAGTCACAACTCTTCAACCACAGCTTCTCTTCATTAAAAAATAAAATGTTTGTCTCCCTCAACAAACACTCACATGCACAATCCATCATCAATTCCTGTTTGCTCTACCTTCTACCTAGTTCTGGATTGTAGAGTGGGTTAACTTAAAATGTACGTCTCCTGACATCTATGTAGTTCTGGATTGCAGAGTGGGTTAATTTAAAATGTATGTTTCCTAACATACTCAGTGAGCGAACTCCATGCCTTCCACTTCCTTCTCTCTTCCTCTCTTAGTCTCTAGGAGGGCAGCATGTGGGGCCTAAGGGTCACGCCCCTCTGGGCAGGGACGCCGCCATAGAAGAAGACACACACATCTGACACCCACCCCACTGCCCCAGCCCAAGCCCAGGCCAGGCACCCCTGGAGGCCTCGCCCTGGTGACTGCCCTCCCACCCACCCCCTGTTTCTTTACAAGTTTCCCCTCTCTTGACCTGGTGCTAGCCTGGTTCCTTCCAGGTCGGCCCAGCGCCACGGAGGCTCCTCGAGACTGTCTTGCCCACCCCAGGAAGCTGGGTAGCATGGGTTGCCCTGCCGATTTCTCTTCCACCCTCCTCTCTAAGACCTCTCTCTCCCTCCCCCTGACTCGAAGCCCCCACCCATTGCTGACCAGGGAATTCTCCACCTGACGCCCCTGGTGTGGCCTGAGTCTATCTCTTCCAAAAGCACAGCTCAGCCATCTGCTCACACCAGAGCCACAGCCTGGGGCAGGTGATTCCCCCTCCCCCACCAAGGGGTGCCCTGGCATCCAGTGCGCAAAAGCCAGTGGTGCCGTGAACACCCTCATGTACAGGGCACACAGAACACCCTGTGCTGTGAACACCCTCATGTACAGGGCAACCCCACCATGAAGAATGACCTGCCCCGAACGCAGGGTGCTGGTGGCAAGAAGCCTGCCCCAGGGCTCTCTGGAGGTCAGCACGGCAATGGCTGCCCTAACACAGGAGTCTGGCTGCAGGTGAGGGGGTTTCCCATTGAGAAGCCCAAGGAGCTCTTCCCATTACAACAGAAACTGTCCCTACCCGGAGTTCCCCGCAGCTCAACCAATCACACTCACATGCTAAAAACAGAAGCTGCCTGAAAACTTTTTTCTGGTGAAGTATCCTTGGAAAAGGCTGAATTACACTGACCAGAGGTTTCTTCACTGTAGGAAGTGCCAGGGCCTTTAATACACTTTCATGTCAAGAATCCCAGAGGGTTGTACAGCAGGCAAGACTTCTCAAATTTCTGTGACCATAAAACACTTCTTTCAAGGGACTTGAGGAGCCCACACTTGGAGGAACACCTCCTCTGCCCAAGCGTTAGGGTTTCCATGGTGAGTTGACCACCATGACCTGCTCTTCAAAGCAGTTAGATTATATTTTAAGCTTCATCATGCAAATAATTTATCATCTTCAGCAATTTCCTCAAAAAACATTATTACAAAAATAAAAAATAAACTGAGCAGACCTACGTCCTACATTATGGGTTATGATGAAAGCTTACGAATCTCCAAAAACTCAGAAACCACACATGCACCTATAAACATAGGAATATATTTTGGGGGTCACTGATCCCAGGTCGCAAACTCTTTCATGAACAGGAACCAAGAGGCTGCGGATGGACCCAGTAACCATCAGACAGCTGATGGCAAGACAGAACCGGGATCCGCCCCGGGTCTCCTTTCCATCACCGGTTTGAATGGTTTTTATAGAATGCTGTCATATGGAGATGGCACCAAGGGTATATCTAAGTCACATGATCTAGGCAGGTCAACCTGAAAATCACCCAAACGGGTTCCTCAAAATCTTCCAGCTAAAAACCACTGGTTGGCAAAGAAATAATTGTTGTTTGAGATATCCCAACTATTCTGATTTGATCATTATCCATCGTATGCACAGATCTAAAAGCCTCATACCCCAGAAATATGCATAATTATTACATCTCCACTTCCAAGCGATGCTGGGCTGACCCACAGTCATGGGGCAGGAACATCCATGGTCATCGTCATCACCCCTGGGATTTGGAGAGTTTTCTTTTACAGCACATTATCAAAGAAATAGCTGATCAATAAAACATATTTCAAAAGGCAAAAAAAATAAAACAGTCCGTGGTTGAGATAGAAAGTAGATGTATGGCTTCTGCGATGGGGGTGAGGGAGTACTGAGTCACTGCTGTGGGCAGTTGTGTTTTTTTTTTGTTGGGGGGAAGATGAAACAATTTGAAACCAGATAGGAGTGGTGTTTGCTACTGTGAATGCACAAATGCTATGAAATTGTTCCCCTTACCATGGTTAACTTTATGCGTTGTGAATTTCACCTCAACTGAAAACAGAAAAGCAAAAAATGGGTTGCTTCCATTTCCACAGTCGTTCATCTCTACCACCGGCCAGCTTTTCCTGGGAGGACACATCTATTAACAGCAGGTCTCTTGGGAATGTTTTCAGAGTATTCTTCTACCAAATAATATTATGTTACTAAAGCATATTCACCTTCTGCTATTTTTAATGGTACTTTAAAATGTATTTATGTCATAAAATGTTTCTTCTTAAGTCATTCCTATTTTTAGAAAACATGGTCATGGTATACGAGTCTACCTTACTTCTTGAAACCTGCAGGTGTATTTAATAAGCTACAACCTGAAATTGCAGAAGACACCCATAATCATATGACTAGATAGGAACATTGTGTTCAGACTTTTCAAAGAACCTTATTAACAGACAGAGGAAAGATATAAAATACATAATTCAAGGAATGGAAGAACCTTATTAACAAACAGAGGAAAGATATAAAATACATGACTCAAGGAATAGAAGAACCTTATTAACAAACAGAGGAAAGATATAAAATACTCAAGGAATGGAAGAGATGACAGCACATTCACTCCACCCCATGGCAACTTAGAGAAATGGGCTGGGCTGGGCTGGCGCCCCGAGACGGGGTACCAACACCCTGAATCTTGTTTTCAACCCTGTCTCTCTTGGCTGCTGAACCCACCAGCACCAGATCTCTCTGGAAACAAGTCAGGGTGCCCTCCCACACCCTCCTGAGCCTGCTTCCCAGTCTTCTCGTTATCCACGGCCCTCCTCTACCTGGCGTCTAGGACTCCTCGTCCAGCATCTCCAGGAAGTCCTGTTTGATGTTGCTGCACTCTCTCTACCCTTCTAATCACAGGAGTCTGTAGTTTCTAGAACGCCTAATCTTGCTCCTGTCCTGATCCTTTTAATAAACTCTCTTCATGATCCTGCGGGGTGGTCTGGTTTTGCTACCTGCAGCTAAGTAACCTGTTTTCCCAAGCCTGCATCTGAGCTTAGGCCTCTCTCCTGCTGTGAGAACCCTCTTTGGCGGCACCCTGCCCCAGAAAATAGGAACACTTTAAAAATCTGTATATGCGCGTAGTGATGTTTTAAATACACACACATCTCTTCATAAAAGAGAAAATAGAAAAGCAGCATGTATGACATGAAATCCCAGGTGGTTCTATACAGACTCAAGGTAAACGGCATGCAAAGATGACGCAGGCCCATCAATCCTCTCCTTATCCCCTCTCTATAGACAGACGCAAAACGTTCACTGATTTTTGATCATCGCTGTGGCAAAGCCATTGTTATAACAGCATACCACACCCTTGTGATACTGGAGTACAAGTTGACCATCAAAGGCTGCTATTTCTCCCCGCTGTCTAAGGAAAAGTACTCTGCATTCATTTCACTGACAGAAAAGCAAGCGGCCACCATGAGTGCTCCCTCTTGTCTTCCTCTGGACGAAGGGGCTGCAGGGAGGTGTTGGGGAGAGGGCGCTGAGGACGCTGAAGCCGCAGGCGCATCACGGTCTCAGCACCGGGCCACGTTCCACAGTGCAGAGGCCATTCTCTACAATGGCCCACTTAACAGTTTCAGAACACAAATGTGCCTGACGGCATGAGGTGGCCACGTTCACATTCATGCGAATTCCCTGTGGCACATTGAGATCTTTGCACACTTCGGAGTGAAGTGTTGATCACATCTGGGAGAACGAACCAACCCAATGGCCAGCCTGTGGCCCGGGCGGCAGAACTGCTCAGCCGTGACGGTGCCACTGGTTGAAGCATTTCCTGAGAACGGCCCCCTCTCCCCACACTTGTCCACGACTCCATGGAACTGACTGCTGTGCCCTGGGCTGCACCAGCCCACAGCATACATCAGTGTCCTGGAGGGCTGGCCACACCCAAACTCCACGCAAATCATTTCTGCACCACTCCTCTCTTCAAACGCTTCATCTTCTCTGATTTAGCACAAACAACTAGAAGGTTCTGAGGACCAGGCGGGGATTCCTGTTTAAGGGGAAGCACCCTCCTCAAAAACAGTCCCTGGAAGGCTGGAGACAGCAGAGTGAGCTCGGCATTTGGAGAGGCCTGAGTGTGGCCTGTGGGAGCCCAGACACGCCACCTAACCCGGTTGCGCCCTGGCTTCCAGCACAGAGACGTCTTCCCAACAGCCAAGTGGCCTCGGACAAGCTATTCCAACTCTTGTGGCTTCAGTTTCCTCATCCTTACTAAGGGGACAATAATAAGTACCCAGGGGCTGGGTGCAGTGACTCACATCCATAATCCCAGCACTCTGGGAGACCAAGGCAGAAGGAGCACTCGAGGCCAGGAGTTCGAGACCAGCCTGACCAACACAGTGAGACCCATCTCTAAAAGAAAACTGAGTAAGTACCTTGCTGGGTATTGTATGGATTGTAAAGCCCTTAGCACAGGTAAATAATCTGACTTAGGAAGACATGTGCCAATACCATATGACACGGAGGAAATGAGGGGCAGCTCCAATGTCCTGTCCTCTAGCGTCTGGAGCAGGAGGGAGTACTGGCAGATGGGCCGGGCGGAAGGACCATGGTGCTTGCATGCAATGGATGGGCAGTGTATTCTTTTTTCCTTTTTGGGTTTAGGGAATACGTGCGCAGGTTTGTTTTGTGGGTAAACTCGTGTCACCGGGGTTTGTTATACAGATTATTTAGTCACGCAGGTACTAAGCTGAGTACTCAATAGTTACCTTTCCTGCTCCTCTCCTTCCCCACCTCCTCCAACCTCTTTGATTCCATGTGACCTCATCATTTACCTCCCACTTACAAGTGAGAACATGTGGCATTTGGCTTTCTGTTCCCGTGTTAGTTTGCTAAGGATGATGACCTCTAGCTCCATCCATGTTCCTGCAAAGGACATGATCTCTTTCTTTTTATGGCTGCATAGTATTCCATGGTGTACTGTACCACATGATACATATGTACATATGTACCACACGTGTGTGTGCACACATGTGATCTCAAATCACTCCCATCCCAACCTGGCACCCTCCAAGCCACCCATCCCCAGTGGCTCTGACGTCTGCTTAGAAGACATGGGCCGGCGCCTCCTAACCTGGGTCCATAAAGGCTGGTTGTGACACGTATTTGAGAGGCACAGACAATGACACCTGCCAGAGCTATGCGGCAGGCGATGGGCTGCGACGGGGATCTTCAGAGTCCACAGAGGAGGTCCTGCTGGAGAGCAGGAGGTGGCCGTGGTGGCCTGAATATGTGAGCAAGTATGACCCTTTCTGAAATTTGCCACAAGAAATAGACGGTTCCCATTAGCAAGTCTGTTTACCAAGCACTCAGAATCGTCGTGTTTTGGGAAATACCGAGATGCTTTTGTAACGGAGAAGGTCACTAAGACTGCCTGTGCTAGAGGCACTGACTTCCTGCCAGGCCTGGGAAGGACGTGTCTCGGGCTTCTCCGTGGAGGTATTTTTCTCCTATCACGTGTGTCTTATTGTCTGGGTGTGTCACATTCAAGTCTCAGCTCTTCCTTAAGGCCTTCAGCACCTCTGAGACAGAATTTTGAGTGGGCTGACCTGGAACCCCACACTACTCCGGCAGCTCCACTGAGGTCCCCTCTTCCCCAAGGCTCCCATTGTCTGCAACACCCAGAGCAAGCCCACTGCCCAGTCCCCAAGCATCGAGGGTCCTGGCCTTCTCCCACTCTCCTTCCACATCCAAGCCGGTCTGGGAGCCTTCGTTCCACCTCTGCCCTCTGTGGTCTCAGAGCCTCACGGGACCCCTCTGTCCTATTTTCCATCACAGGGTTCCACATGGCCACGTGACCCTCATGGATACTTTTACTGCCTTCCGCGTTTCTCACACTGCCTGGGGCTCCCTTTTCCAGCCTCTCATTTTCCTCCCCAGCCTCTGAGGACACCTTTATTTAAGGGAGGCCTAATGCCACCACTGTCCAGTCCCTGCTGCCTGCCCAGATCAACAAGCAGGCATGTCACGGCAGATTGTCCCTTCCTAGAGGAATGACTGTAATAAAACACAACTGCAGCCTTTCAGCGACTCACTGAAAGGCCCCAAACACCACTCCCAAGGTCCAGGCATGTGGGCAAGCCGGGCTGAGTAAGGCAGTACTGGCATCTCACTGCACACCGCACTGCACGCAGCAAGCCAATTTTACAACACATGGCAGAACTGGCTACTTAAGAGACAGCTGCAGTGAACACTCCTGAACGTGAAGAATCCTTGGTCGAGCAAAGAAAGATCCCTTCAACTTTCCTAGCTTGTGAATTTTGACTTACTAGGTTTTCTTAAAGCAGGGTGCACCTGCACAGCATCCAATCATTTCCAGACTTCAGGCAAATCCACCTTCCAACCAGGAGTTGAAACTTTTATAATTAATTCCTTGTTTTGACTTTGCGATTCCAAGAAAGTCAGTTTCTTTGGGGCCCATGCGTCTCCATCAGCGAAGGCCCCTGCCTGTGGCCCCTGTGACACCGTCCTTTCCTGGAGGCGCTGTGCCTTTCATTCCTCCATTTCTGATTTCAAGCAGAAAAGTGCTGATGAGTCAGACATCCACACTCCAAGGCACAGAATACGTGTTATCAAGCAAAACTCAGCAGAGGCGGGCCTGGGGGACAAAGGAGACACAGGAACCCCCGCAGATCCGTCACATCGTCGGGCGGCACAGGCTCTGCAGTGCTGGCCCTGGTTCTGCCAAGGTCACGAGGAGGCCTCACACCTGGCCCCCGGTTTGCCCAGGCCAGGCATCTCTGGGCGCCAGCACGTGGCCCCTGGACACACCTGCTGAGTATTTAGCTAAGTTTGAGAATGGCCCAGTTTGAGAATGAGATGATCACTCTACTCTCTTTCATGCTGGAGACAGCACTGATTCTAATCTATCTGAATCTTATACTTCTTCTCCTGTCCCTGACCTGCCAGGACAGCCCGAATGGGATCTGTGGGCCAACAGCTCAGTGCAATCGGTCACAGAGAAGACGCCCATCCCGGAACGCGAGCGGGAGCCACCCCCGCCCCCACACTCGGCCCTCTTTGTCCCCTGCTCAGCGGTCAAGGACCTTGTGGTGAGCGCCTCCCCACAAACGCAGCCTCCTGCGGAATTCAGCCCTGCACTTTTGCAGAGCTTGGAGCCAAGACAAATGACATTTGTGATCATGAGAAAGCCAAGAACGATGGAAACGGTAGCATCGAAGTTGTGCCGCTTTCTGAAACTTCTTTGAACTCGTTGTGCAGGGCCGGGGAGCTCTACGGCCAGGAAAAGTGCGCAGGGGGCGTCCCCGCGTCGGGCGCGCACACGGCCAGAGCACGGGGCTCCCCACGCGGGTTTGTCTCGGACGCAGAGGGGCCGCGAGCGGAGACATGGACGCGGCATTTCTCACGCCAGGAGCTCCCCGCGCGCGCTCCCCTTCCACAGTCCCCGCCCCGCAGGCCGAGAGAGGACCGCGGGGACCTGCGAGGGGCTGGGCCGTCCAGGAGGCCTCGGGTCTGCGCCCCGCTCAGCCCCCGCGGGACGCCTTTGGCGAGAGACGCGGTTCTGAAATCAGCTGTGGGGTTTCGCCCAGGCCCGTCCTCTGGCTGCGGCCATCCAAGTGGCCCCCGCGTGGTGAGGCGGGGCCAGACCCGGTGACCTCCGAGGGGTTAGAGACCTGGGCGGGGGCGGGGGCCAGTCCTCCTCCCGAGAGGGCGCCGCGGGGACACAGCCCACCGCCGGGAGCCAGCGGGACACGGGCCTCGGGCCTGACGCCGCCCACCCGAGGGTGCCCGAGCCCCGCTGGGACCCGCTCAGAGCCCTGGCACCGCCCTGGGACGGGACCGACGGGAGCGGGGGGAGCGAGGACCCGTCCTGCCGTCGGAGTGGAGCCCGGAGCCAGGGGGTCCCCCGTCCGCCCCCAACCCTCGCGGCCTCGCTAATGAGGAAACTTGGGGGGCGGGGTCCCCGTGCTGCCGTCCCCGCGCCTGTGGCCACATTCTTTCCACAGTCACCTCCCCGCCCCCATTTGGCGCGCGACGTCTGAGGTCGCGGATATGCGGTGGGAACAGCCCGCGCCGGGGCGTGTGGAATGAGGGTGCCCGGGCGCCCCTCCCTGCACGTGGGGTCCCGCAGGCAGCCGCGCCTTAAGGCCAGAGTCGAAGCCTGTGGGTGCGGACACAGGGAACGTTCGAGGAGACAGAAACTGGGGTCCTCCCTGCGTTCCACCCGCCGCACCCTTAAGCCTCGCTCTCCCCAAAACGCGCCCGAAACTCGGCCTCGACGGGGCCTCGGGGCCCGGCGACCCTCGCAGCCTCCCCTGGGCAAATCCGGAGCGCCCCTGGGACCCTTCGCACGCGCACGCGCACGCGCGCACTCGCACGGACGGGCGCGCGGGAAAAGGCTCGTCCCCGCGCTCAAGCAGCCCGGACTGGCGCGGGGGGGGCGGGGCGGATGAAGGGAAGCGAGGGGGCAGGAAATGCCGTTAATTGAGGGAAACGCGCATGCATTGCACGGGCGGCCTTTGATGTGCGCCTCCGGGCCAGCCCGGCCCCTCCACGCCGGCGAGCCCACCCGGCGTGCGCCCCTCTCCGCCGGCGCTCCCGGGAGCGCAGGGCCAGCTTGAGCGCCGAGGACGCGTGGCACTTCCAACGAGCAGGAGGCTGTGGGCTCACTCTGTCTCTAACGGGAGACAGTGCGTGGAGCCCTTTTTGTTTCTCCCCCAACCCCTGGGCCTCCCGGGGTGGGTCCGGAGACCGAGCGCTGCGGGGGATGACCACGCTGACCGCGGCTCCTCATGGGGAGAGGCCGCCTTGTCTTGACCTAATGTATGTACACATATAAATACAGTGCTCGTCCAAATGACATTCCACTCACTCTCCCTCCCCCTCTTTTTCTTTTCATCATCAGCAAATAAAGATTAGCCGGGAAGATTATAGAAAGCGTTTTCAGGCTGGCGCTGATCTTTATTCCAGGGGCTTTGTGATGATATTGATGATGATGATGGTCAAGTGGACAGTTTGATTTTTGTGTTTGGAGCTAGTTATAAAGAATCAATATTATATCAAGGGGTAACTTTCGTGATAAAGGACTTTAACCACTCTGGCTATTCATCATAAGTCTGTAGCAAGCAGATAGGTCAAAAGAAATTATATTGCACTAAAGAGTGAGTCTTCTTATCTCTCCCATACCAGGGGAATAAGGGACCAGCCGATCGATACAGTAGCTGCTGTATACTTCTTGCAATTATCAATAGCTGATTTCGCCTTTTGAGGCCTGCATCTATTAATGCAAGCTAATAATAATCGTTTCGGCCTCCCTATAGGCAAGGAGTCAAAGTTTTAACTTGCTAGCATTATTTATGTAATCATACATGCTGAAATGTCCCTCCTGGTCTACATGCAGCCCCGAGCCACAGTTCAGCCATCAGGAGAGAAGTACTTCACCATCGTTTGCATCCCTCAGTGCGAAGACGACTGTGAGCTGATGTTTCTGTGTATGCCATAAAAAGCCACGGAATGTTTGCCTCTGATGGCTACGGTGAAGCTACACAGCGTCCTGGAATAAACACACAGGAAGGCTGCGGAGCACGTAACCAAAATGGACTGATACACTCCACACCCGGCTCACATCTGTTAAAAATATTTAGGCATATTTATCTCCAATAGCTTTGAAAGCAAAGGAAGTCACAGCAGTTGTATCCAGTGTGGACAGGGCAGTTAGCTATGTGCTGGTTTATTTACTTAGAGCATTTTATTTTTACGGGGAAAGTTATCTTCAAGTAGGCAAACAGAGGATTGGAAAAAGCGTTTTCAAAAAACCATAAATATAATTTTTGGCTACATGTTTCCTACACCCCCACCCAATGTAATAGAAAAGCAACATCTTTATAATTGGCACTTGACATGCTGTTTGCGTTGGGCTGTGGCACACCAAGCACAGATTTCCTGTTGATGGAAACATTTATCATCCTGATTGCCCCAGAGTGGCAGGTGGTGTTATCAATTACCTCTTCTTACCAATAATAATATTAGTATGGTAATATCTTTGCTCAAGTGAGAACCAATTAGCAGTCACTTGTCACAGCATTAGAGGCACCAAATCATGCTGAATTTAACTCTAAGAACCTAAAACAAAAGTTGGGGGTAGGGGAGGAAACGGAGAGAGGTGGCCAGAGAATAGAAGAAAGGAACTTTGGGTGGGGGGAGGAATGAAAGAAGACAGAAAATGAAATGAAAGCCCTAATATTTGAAGGTGTTTTTTTTTTTTTGCATTAAGTGGTTGGGGAAAATAAACACTTGTAAACAAAGCATCAAATGCACCTTAGGTAAAACTAGCTTCTGTGAATCTGGGGCCAGGTAGCTTCAATAAACTGTGACTGTGATGGTAAATTAGAACCAACTACTCCACTTCCAATCAATCTTGCAGATAGGCTTTGTTTTATCTGAATGATACCGATTGAACCAAACACCTAATTATATGTTTCACTAATGTAAAATATACAGCATTAATTTGTAAATAATATTAGACAAAATAATAATGTGTCACCTCAAGATGAAAACAACATTGCAAGAGGAAAGACAATTAACAAATTAGATTTAATTACAGGGAAGAAAAGCAACTTTTGTTTTTGCGAGTGTTTAGGTATGACAATATTAATAGACAGTGGTCATGTGGTGACGAGTATGTGTGTGCCCCTCCGAGTCTGCACTACACAGGCACATGGCCCAGCGTCGCTTTAATCTGGGCACGACTAGAGCGCATGTCCTGTCTCATCTGCGAAAATATTCCATAGACACGTTGTCACTTCGCAATAAATCTATGGTTGCAACTCAGGCTTAAAATGCAAATGCTTTTATTAAAAGTTGTCGCACTGAATAAGAGCAATTAAAGAAAAGTTTCTGATCTGAGTATAGAGAAGGAAGAAAGGCGGGAACAAGCCAGTCAAGAAGTCGCACGCCTTTTGTTTTCTACCTTTGCTTTCTTAAAAAATTGATCTTGTTCACTTGTCAATTTTTAAAAGGGTGCACCGCAGAAATTACTCGTGCGCACCATTTCCGCTGTGGGGGCATTCGTACAAGTTTCCGCTGCACACACAGCCTCCCGGGCCCTCTCCTCCAAGGCTCTGCCGGATCTTCCAACGAAATCCCAGAGCAGCCTGCGCTGGGGAGCCCGCAAGTCTCTCCAGATCTCTGCACCCCGCACCGCCCGGAATCTGGGACGGCGCCCACGCAGGGCTGGGCCAAGGGCAGAGCTCGCACCCTGCCTTCACGCCCGGTTCACTTGCGTCCACGAAAGCAGCGTGCCGGCCTCCTCCATCTTCCCACTCGCGCAACGCACGGCGACCCGCGCGACACTTCTGCAATCTGAAGGCTTGCTTCTTACAAATAAAGGGCCAGAGTCTCACACTTGCCTTCGTTGGAGGGACTTAGAAGATCCTCCCCACGTCCACACCTTGTAGGAAATGCAAAACAGATCGATGAAATTAAACAGTTGCATTTGGAAGCCCCAGAAAGACCTAAAGACATCGTGCCGGTTTGTTGGAGAGAGGGTTGCGGGACAGGGGGAGCGGGCCTTACGCAACAGAAAAGGTGGGCACAGCGCGCTCAAAATGACCCAGTGAGGAGTTGGTGCCGCCGGGCCAGAGGCTGCGAGTCCAGCTGGCTCTGGACTTGCTCCGCAGGCGTCAGACGCCGTGGGAACCTGTGTCTGCTTCTTCTCTCCAAAGTGTATCGGTTAAAAAAAAATAAAAGTAGTAGTAGTAGTAGTGGTAAGGAAAAAAATAAAAATAAAAAGGAGACACAATTAACCAGGTCATAAAAGCTAGGGCACCTTCGACCAGGGCTCTGGCCCTCCAGCGATCGTTTTGCGTTGTTTCTCTTCTCAAAAGTAGTCTCAGACCCCTGCCTTTCCGCTGCAGCTCTGCGACTTCCCCAAACTCCTTAATCCTGTAAATTCTGCAAGAAACTCCCATCCTGCAAGCTGCTTTTCCCCCTCCCCCCTGCGTTCCTTTTTTCTCTCCCCACCCGCGCCGCCTCTCTATGCCCCTCTCTTCTCAGAAAAATTCCTGCCCCCCGCGCGCCCCAAAGCCCGGGCTGCAAACTTTTCCCCGCCGGGCGCCTCTGCGCCAGATGCCGGAGCGTCTCCACAAAGCCTGAGCATCTGCACAAGTTCGCAGCCTAACTGCGGGATAAAGACGTTTCCCCCGTAGCTTAACTAGAAAAGCGCCATCGATGGGTGTGTTAAACGGGATAACTAGAGATTTCAAACACCTTTTATTTGCCTGTCTTGAAAAAAAAATCTAAATGAATACGCCCGCTACCAAAAGGCAAAATAAAACCAACCTTAAGGGTTTTTGTTGTTTTTTTTTTTTTTCAAAAGTGGCGATAGGGACTGTTTGGACCTGACTCCAACCTGCGCCCTCCCTTCCTCTATGACCCTCCTGCGCTTTTCCTGGAACCCAAAGCTCTGACTTCGTCAAACTTACACAATTAAAGGCAGGCGGAAGAACGCGGGCTGGGAAGCAAGCGGGAAGATTCTAGAATGGAAGGGAGCCCGCCGAGCGCCGCGAGCCGCGCCAGGCCGGGTCCGATGGAGCAGGCGGGGATTCCTCCCCCAGGCGGACCCCCGCCACCAGCCCTGCCGGGAGCTCGCGGCCTGCGGAGCGCCCGGGCTGGCCGCTCACCGCCCGCTTCCCCCAGCGAACGACTCGGGGAAGCTCCAGGAGGCCATCTGTGCTGACGGTTCACACCAGACAGGACCACTTGCAAGGACAAAAATAAGAAATTTAGGAAACGAAAAAAGACGTACTGGGGCGAGGGGCGCGGGCGCGGCGACGACGGGGCCGGGGGCACATCCTGGCGGCCGCTCGGGGAGAGAGGACACGCGCGGGAAGGAGCGCGGCGGGTGCACGGCCGCGGGTGGGAGTACGCGCCTGTGCGCGCGGGGCGAGGGCGAGGGCGCGTGCGTGTGACCGCGGGGAGGGGGCGGGCGCGTGTGCGGGGAGCGCGCCGCGCCAGGGGCCGAGTGTGTGGGGCCGATCCAGAAGTGCGCAGCCCCCTCACCTGGCCCCCGTGTCATCCCCGAAATCCCGGGAAAGGGTGGGCCGCGCGCGGGAGTTTGGTGGAGTTGGAACTTTCGGTCGCGCTCGCTGCCCACTCCGCTGGCGCCCGGTGGCCCGTGGTGAAGGGGGACTAGGGTGGGGAACACCGGGGCCCTGCGGTCCCCTCCCTTTCCTGTATTTAAGAAGCCGCCGGCGGCGCAGAGGCCCAGGCGGGCTGGCGCGGGGGCGAGGCGGCCCGGTGGCAGCAGCGGGCGGGGCGGGCGCTCCGGAGTCGGTGGGGCCCGCGGGTTGGGGGGCGGGGAGAGGGGGGAGTGGAAGGGAGGGGGAACGCAGGGGAGGGAGAGGAGGGGAGGAGCCGCGCGGCCCGCGCCGCTTCCGAACCGGAAAGTTGGTCTTGCCGAAGTCCTGCCACCCCGGCGTGCGCACTCCGCTCCGCTCCGGCCGCGAGCCTCCGAGCCCGGCCGGCCGCCGGGGGAAGCCCGCGGAGGGGACGCGGGGCCGGGCGAGAAGGTCCGGAGAGCGGGGGGCACCTGAGCCCGGGCGGGCCCGCCGCGCTGAGCGGCGCTGAGAGCCGCGGCGGAGCAGCGAAGGCGGCCGGCCGACCCCGCGCGCCCGGAACAGGAGGCGCGGCGCCCGAGCGGCCCGGGCGAGACAAAGGCGCCGGGTCGGAGCCCTGCCCGCGGCCGCTCGCTCCGGGAGGGGCCGCCCGGCGGCGGCGGCGGGGGGGGCGCGGGCGGCGGCGCAGACACTCTATAAAGGGGCGAGCCCGGCGCGCCGGCGGAGACGGCGCCGCGCGGACGCCGCCAAAGTTTGCTGCCTGCGCCCTGCGGAGGGACGGCCACCGCGGCCCGCGCCGCACCCGGGCCCCGCCACAGCCGCACCCGGGGCGGCCGAGGAGCGCGGCGCCGGAGCCCGCGATGTGAGGCGGCGCCGGGCAGCGCGCGCCCCGGTCCCGAGGCGCCGCGGCCCCCTCCTCGTCGGCGCGGCCGCTAATTGCGAGCGCGGCCTCATTTGCATAGGCCGCCGGAGTCCGCTGGAGCCCGGCCAATCGGCGCGGCCCTCCGCTAATGGCCATGCATTATTCACCAGCCTAATTGCTCAGCCCCATGCGCGGCCCGCGCAGCCGCCGCCGCCCCGCGCCCCGCGCCGCGCGCCCGCCAGGCCGCCCCGCGCCGTCCCCGCCGGCCGCCCCGCTGATGCCGCTGCCCCGCGCGGGGCCCGAGCGCCGCTAGCAGCATGTCTCGGCGCAAGCAGGCCAAGCCCCAGCACCTCAAGTCGGACGAGGAGCTGCTGCCGCCTGACGGGGCTCCCGAGCACGGTGAGGGCCGGGGCTGCGGGGTGGCCGGGGGGTCTGGGGCTGCCCGTCCGGGCTGGGGAAGCGCGTGCGGCGGGAGCGGATGCGCGCGTCCGGGAGCGGGAGAAAGTTCCCTGCTTCCTGCGGGCAAGCGTCCGCCCCGCGCCAGGCCGGCCGCGGGGCCCCGGGTACTTCGCCGGAGCGCGCGCGGCCGCCGAGAGAGTTGTGGGCGAAGTAAACTTGGCTCCTCTCCTCGGAGTCGGGGAGCTGCCCGCGAAGGGCGCCGAGGCCGCGGCCGGCTCGAGGACGGCTCGGAGGCCGGGGCGGGAGGGAGTCCACGGTGCCTCCGCCGCCGCGCCGCCCCCCAGGGTCTCTGCGCCAGGACGCTGAGGCCGGCGGCGGCGGGGAAGGCGACCGCAGCCCACCTACCGCTGGACGCGGGTTGGGGACCCCGCCGCCCGGCCAGCTTTGTTCGGGGGCCCGCGGCCCCTCCCGGGCCCCCGCACCGCCTCGGGTGACCCGCGGTGTCCCAGCGCGTTGACGCAGCCTGTGATCCCTCGCGAGGCGAGGAGAAGGTCGGGGGCTTGGCTCTGCCTAATGGCCGCCCGGGGAATTAAGCTGGGGGTGAGCGCAGCGGCGGCGGCCTGGGCCTGGCCCCTGCTCGCGGCGTGTTTCCGGGGCGTTCGTTGCAGCGTCTGCGCGGGCCTTTTCTCTCCCGTCTTTTTGGATCCGCCGAGGCCGGGCGCTGGAGACCTCGGCTTTGCAGTCATTTCGCTGGTAGGAGCGTCCTCTTCGAAACATCCAAGAGCAAAGGGCAGGCGCCGCGAAAGTTAAGAGACTGGCAAAGGGCTGGACTTCCCAGAGTGGCGCCTTAGCCCCGCAAAGTTTGGGGCGCCCCCACCCCCTTCGTCGAGTCAAAACCTCGGCCGGCGGCGCCCGGGCTTCGGCGCGCCCCGCGGGGCCCCCAGGGCGCCAGGAAAGAGGGCCGAGGAGGGGCGACCCCACGACCCCGAGCCCGCAGCACAGCTCGCAGTAAAATAATTTGCTCCTTAAAAAAACAGGCAGGCCAACTTTTATGATTGACCTGTTATAAGTTGTTGGAGGCAGATGGTGATCTTTTTACTCTGAGAATGAGACTGTCTGCGAAAAGGAAACGGGGCGGAAGAGTTTCCCACACAGTGGAGTAAAGTTTGACAAAGCGGGTAGACACCCATGTCGGATGAGAACGAGAGAGCATGCTTATGACGCGGCTGGAGAATTAATGAATTAAATAAAATTAGTGAGCTCGCTGGGGTCTTTTTGTTGCGGTGGAGGTAAGGGAGTCTTATCTGTGTAGCCAAGTCAGCCAAGATGAGAACAGGCGATATGCTAAAAAGAAACGCTTGCATATGGTGGGTAGATTAAGGACAAAGAATCTTTTTGTCATGGAAATGGATTTTTTTTTGTTTTGTTTACTTCATCACATAGAATTTCTCACACTTGGTTTGTTTTGTATCGCCCTCAATGACTACATGATCAAATGAATGGATTTATTTCTGCCGAATGAGAAAGACAGTCTTTCCTTCAAAAGAACTACATTGCGTCCCAGTGAGGAATTTTAAAGCTTTATTATTGTGGCTCCTGAATGGCTTAAAATCGGCTTTCACAGCCGCCCCAAAATGCAACAATGTAAATACTTCTCAGCTTTGTAGGGTCGGTATCAAAATGTGCGATGTCTCCTTTTATTAAAGCATATTTTAATTAATAGAGTAAACCCCCTGGTATTTAACAATTAACAAGCTGAGGCACTGCTATTCATTTTTAATTTCACTTCAGAAATGTGAGCATGCTGAACTTAATAGTGTAAACGTGTGGAGGGCTATATCGCCTATATTTGAAAGCCTAAGATGGGATAAATTATTCACAAGTTCTACTTTGAATCCCTCTTGTTGCTGCTCGAATTTATTTAGAGATGCAAAATATTCAGGTTTTTTACCCGTGGTAGAATTGAAGTTCTTGTCAAGCCTGTGTTTTTCACAGCATCCAGAATTGTAATCCAGACGTTGCCACAGTTCCTGGTCATGTTTTGCAAGAGGCCCAAAATACCCTGTGTGGGGCCGAGTCTTGGTCGAGCAGCTCACATGCTTGTTTGAGAGAGTTTAGGCAAACTATTTTTTTTAAGTTCTTTCTCATTTAATTATATTCGAAGCAGCTTGTTCAAGGAGCATAACAGACACTCTGTTCCGTGTTAAGTCAAGGAATGCCCCATTTGTGTATTACTCGGTCGCACTCAGCATCGTTCCTAAGATAACTAAGTAAAAATTATAAAAAGGTAAATGGGTGTGGAAACCAAATTACTCCAACCTGAGTCAGATCTCCTCAAAATTTTAATTTTGTTAAATGCAATGGAAATAAACAGACCGTGCCGGAAGTTGCAAGTGAGCTCAGTTAGTTTAGTGTTTTAGAAACGAGGTAAATAATTCCTTTGTATCACTCGGGGAGTGACATATTAATTAAAGCAGCAGGTCCATCTACATGCAGTAAAATGGAAAGCTACTGATAATGTCCTGCAGAACAAATATTCTATGCAAAAATGTTTAGTATAATGGGGGACAGAGATGCACTCACATTAATTTACAGCACAAAGCCTGTATCTCTTAAAAAAGAATTATGATTTATTTTTGAAGCAATGAAAAGATTCTATACAAAAATAACTGGTGCTACCCAAACCTTACCACTACAGGAATGAAACATGACGTGTCTAGAATGAGAAAAAGTAAGGATAATTTATGTAAAGTTCTAAAGTCATGCTTTTGTTAAAAAAAAAAATTAAGTCATTGAGACATTCCTAACAGAAATTGCTTTTTAAAATTACTTACTTGCAAATGATCTCATTCCTATTTTAGAAGAAAGGCGCTGCAGCTTTAGGATCCAGTGAACTTTGCGCCACTAGTAATCCTGTGAGCCAGCTGAATATTTTTGTTCTAAGAAAAATTAATTAAAACTTCCAATGACAGTTATATGCCCACTAAGAACTTTAAAAGATACAATACTGCTATTCTTTATTGTATAAAATATAATTTAAGAAAGATGTATTTTGTTGTTGTTAGAAAATATGTATTTAAGAAGGAACAAAAGGGTATTATAATTTAAAACCATTTACCATCCTGTATTTTGTTTGTTAGCACTAATTGCTTCAAAGTGTGTTTTTTTTTCTGCCAACTTAGAAGTATATGGCTGTCTTAAAAATCCTTTTAAATGTGTTGAGCATGTGATTTAAGAATTTACCAGTGGTTTTCACAGACTGTGTTTGAATTAAGGGAAAGAAGCTCGGCCACCAGTGCTTGGCGCAGGATCTTTTTCTTTTATCTGTATATGCATGGTTTGCCCTCAGTGCTCCCCCAGCACACTACACACATTTACAATTCAGCATACCAAAAGGAACAATGCAGGAGCTACTTTCTAACATTCACAGGCAGATTGCTTTCTCTGAAACATGAAAGGTAAAAAGTAAGTAACCGGGTTGGGTGAGGGGAGAGGAAAAGAAGACTTTGCCAACATTTCTTTTAAAAACAACATTAAAAAACTTAACCTATTTAAAAGTGCACGTTTCTGTGATCAACAAAAAAGCATACCAATTAATTCCCAGCTTGCAGAGAGAGAGAGCTGATTATGTAACAGTTCTCGAATTTTATGTGCAGTACGTTTTCAACTTCCATGGCATATGCATTATCCAATATTTTTAGATCTGTTGTTCAAAGCCAGAAAAAGGTATGGAGTAACAGCAGGAATTACTTAGCAAGCTGATTCTTTTTTGTATACAAGATGATGGTAAAAGTGGGTCAAATTTCATTTCCAACTGCAATCTCTAAGAAGCTGTACCATTCATTTCCAGGTAGCCCTAAGAATATTTTCTTTTGGGGGGAATTCAGCAAAAGCACAACCAGGGTTTCTATTCTGTGTGCTGACCATTAGTTGGAATTTAGCATTCTTAAAAGTATTGGCACCAGCTTTTATTTAAGTACAATAAAAATCTTTTTCACTTCTAATGAGGATATGCACCATCTTTCAGTGCTGCAAGATAGTTTCAAGAAGCATAACTTTTAAATATAACAGGAAGGATTTTTTGTTTTTATTAGTTTTATTTTCCTACATGATTTGTTCAGTAGTTGCCAGAATAAGACCAACATGTTTTAGTCTTGGAAGGACAGGTTTGTAATTACAGCATACCTTAATTATTACACATTTCATACACAATGAAACAAACTGTATGTAAAAATTGAGCAATTTAATGTTCCAAGTAAACTTTTATTTAAAAAAAAAAACCTGTCTAGGGTTATTTCTCATGTAATTTCGACACATTTATGATTTAAAATGCAGCTAACTGATTTCTAAGCAAACCAGGCCAGTCACATGCCAGAAAGTATAAAATATTAATTGTAATAAAATAATGGAATGGTTTCTATGTTAGAGATGAAGATTGATTTGTTTCTTAATTAAAGGGAGGCGTTCTCCAGACTGAGACGGTGTCCACCAAGGGGATCCGATAATGCCAGTGTGGTGTCTAAATATTTTCCTCTGTGGGCCTGTCTTTTTCAATCACCTTCAGATTAGTTCTGCTTACTATCTAAAATCCCTACCCCCTTCGCATTCTCTGCGAGCATTAGCAGCCAGCTCGGCGCAGAAAGCCTTTTTGTCTGATGTCTGAAAAGGTGGGGTTGCAGAGTGCTGGCCAGCTTCCGACCGTCTCTCCCTGAAGGTGGGTAGTTAGAAGTGCTTTGACAAGCCTTGCTGATTTAACCTTTGCCTGCTTTGCCCTGCCAGGGGTGGCCACTAGATGTCAAGCTCATAATACAATTAGTGCATCTGTGCTGTTGACCTTGGCAACAGGGCTCACCACTGTTCTGTTAAGTGTTAACACTGAATCTGAGTGTTAACTAGAGATCCCGCGAGCTTGCGCCGTGCTGCACGGCTTCTCAGACGCCATCTAGTTCAGCACAAGTGTTTATAGTTCTTAAAGAAGAAGAGAAAACGGCTTTCTTTTGTGTCGTTATTGCATCTTGAACTGTTTAATTAACCCTGCAGGTGCCGCGGCACTTTGTCGTGATTCGTCGGCGTTACTGGTCTTTTCGAGAGTGACCTTCACCGCACTGTTTGGTAATTCTGTTGTAGGATCTGTATACGTGCAGAGTCACTGGCTTCAACGACCCAGGGCAGTGGCTTTTCCAGGATGATTTTTTGCATATGTGCAAACTTTGCCTGTAGAAATGAAAGTGCCATGAAGTGCTGACAAATGATGGAAATGATTCCATCGCCTGATCCCGAGTGTGAGCGGGCTGATGGTCACAGCTGATGGTAGCCTTGCTTCTGGACGCAGCGTGGCTCATGTGCCCCTCTAGAGCTATTTACATGTAGGCATTTATATGTCTAAGTGGTTTTGCGTATTTATTTCTATGCATAGTGGATTTGAAAAATGGACAGTGTTTGGGTGCTTTCAAGTAGGCATGTCATGAAATAGCACGTTTAATTTCATGTGTCGGATCAGTGAGACCACAGCCTTTGAATGTAAACCATCTGCATCTTCACCAAAAGTGATTTAGCAAAACCTTGTTTTCACCCCCTCATCAAATTTCGATTGAAATTGTTTGCATCAGCTGACATATTTCAGGTCTGCGTATTTTTCATTAGGCATAGATAGTGATACACACGCGTTCCTTATAAGTGTGATGACAGCATAACATCTAAATGAAAGAACTATTGTGCAACCTTGAAGTGTAACAAACGTCTTATTATTTGAAGCAGCGTCGAGGGCAGATAGTTAAAGCAAATGCGAGTGCTGTCCAGCTCCCATCTGCATGTACCCATAAAGGCAACCGTGTCTCCTCCCGGGTGCTTCACTGCACAGGTTAAAAACTGCAAATGTTTTAAGCAGAAGACAGTTGGTGACTGTGCCACAGGTGGTCGTGACTTAACAAATTTGAGGTGTGGGCCATGGCGTCGACGCGCGGGAGTGTGTGGTCAGAGCCGCGTTGAGCATGGCAAGAGTGCCCTCCACTGTTCAGCGCTGTGCGTACACACTCTGAGGTCTCGGGAAAAGGACAGAAAATTTTTCTATTGCGTCTGGAATTTCTTCTACATTGTTAAACACAGTAGGGGTCTCTATTTGTCTCCTCCTGTTTCACAGCTTGGGCTCAGTATGTGATAATTCATCTTTCTTTATGGGATTCAAAGCTATCATAAGGAGTTAAAAAGAATTAATTTGCAAGAAAATAAGTGTCTCCTAACAATTTAGGAAAACTGGAAAAAAATGCTTTCTGGATTTTTAAGAGATGGAAAGGCAAAGGAAAAAGTCCGTCTTCCTTTCCTGAAGATCCACGTGGCATTTTAAAGTTACTCATTGAAGTGGATAAGTTAACAACCCTTTCCCTGCACTAAACAAATTCTGCTTCTCTTGTTCATTGTAATGAGTAAAAAACATGCAGCAAAAGTGTATTGAAGGTGAGCTTTTGAGATTGATAAAGGAAATTACAGAACACCTATATTAATACTACTTTGTAATTGGTTAGCTTACTTAAAAACCACTGTACTTGAAATGCCAAGAACTGTAGCTTGAAATTTTTGAAGAAAGCATCGTCTTAAATATTATATAGGTATACACAGCATATCTTAAGTTATATATTTCATACACAAAATTTATGTAAAAATTGAGCATTTTAATATTATTCTAAGTAAACTTATTTTTAAAAAAAAAACCTGTTTTAGGTTTTTTCTCATGTAATTTCTCATGTAAAACCAAATCAGAGGATTAGTTTGCTTGGAAATCACATAGCTGTATTTTACACACACATATTACAATGATGTTTTTCACTTGTGGCTTTAAAAAGATCATCCAGGCTAAAAATTCTGCCTGTCATTCTGATAGAAGATAGATAGATTCTATAACAGACCAGGGATTAAAGCTGAGCGAAGACCAAAAACAGACAGTCTGAGGGGTTCCTTTCACACCAAGAGTCACTCCTAAGAATAGGAACATTTTTGTTAAACATTCTGTGTATATTTTATTAGTTAGAAGGGGAAAATACATATTTTTTTTAACTATCGTCTTTGAAGCTATGCTTTTGTTAGAGGTTTTCTCTGAAAGGCCTGTGGGACCTTCCTCCCCTCTTCTGTACAACTGAGAAACACAGACAGGAAGGAATGTGCACATGGTAATAGAGGCCCTGAAAATCTAGGTGTAAACAGCAGATATTGGGATCACTGTAAATTAAATGGAAAAAAAAACTATATTTTTATCCTGTGTAGTGCAGATGGCCAACATGGCACCATGGGTGTGATACTTAATTTGAGATCAGCTAAGGCGGGTTGTGGCAGAGCAGGTCCTGAGGCCACCTTCACGTTCACATAGAAGCAAATGGGTTGGTACTTCCTAAAAGTAGCCCTGGCCAGATACTCTCATTCACCAAGAAGGGAAGAGTGTTCGCTAAGTTCTGTTAGTTGGTGAACTGGTTGGCATTTTTCTTAACTTGTTCTAATAAAATCCCATTCCTGCCCATCCCCTGCCTGTTTACAGTTTCACGTCTCTTAGCTGTTGAATAGTGTGCAAAAAATAAGTTCCTTTGACATTAATGATAATGTTTGCAATGCTTGCTTTTTAATTCGCCCCTTAAACAAAGAGAGGAAGAAAATGAAAATTGCATTGGAAATAAATTTCTCAAACTTGTCACTGTTGTACTGTTGTTACAGTGCCTCGCTGACATGGTTTTGCCTTGACATAAAAAGTTTAGGCCATATTAATTAATGTAATAACTTCTATTTTTGGAACATGCATACAGGCCAGTTCAAAATACAAGTTTAATTTAAAAAGGTGGTTAAATACATTTGAATCTGACATAATACTGGCTTTAAATGATGGCAGGATTAAAGGGCTTTAGAAGTTTATATGATAAAATTGTGGACTAAATGCAGATTTTTCCCATATGGGTTTGCTTGTTATAGACAGCACTTAAACGTAAGTAAATAATGTCAGATTGGCACATAAACACTGTAATATATGCATTTAATCATCATCATGAGAAGGGCCATGGAAGCAGTTTATAAGAACTTATTCTTCAGAATGCATCAGAAGCCAGCACTCCTCAGTCTGCAAGCCAGCAAAATGTCTTTCTAGTTCTCAGGAAACTCTGTCCTTAGTAAAATATGTTCACTTTGGTTATTTCCTACAACCAGTTCAGTCAAGTGCTTACTATTGTTTAATAACATTCTTGAAGTATGCAGACAGAATTTCAATTCCATATGTGATTGTTTCAATTCCACACGTGAGTGTTTTTACCTGTATTTCTTTTATTCGGGGCTATGTTGTGAAATTCGTTCTTATCTACAACTTTTATGGAATGCTAATCACATTCAAATGTTGATAGTGAGACACAGTCACAGCTGGGGCACGCGAGAACAATTGAGGTGATCACATTGATATTTTATACACACCTCAATAGAAAATATAGATGATGATCCTGATTTGCCTGAAATAATCTGAGTTGTATTGAAATTTTTTTCCTTCATTAATAATAACCTTTAAGGTCTGTTTTAGTCAAAAGCCAAATTTATTACGGAGCTTTGCTTATAAAATCCAGCATAGTCTGTTTCCTTGGGCTCATTAACAAAATGAACTGTTAACAGGTCCAAATGGTCACAATGACATTTTTTAACACAATTTCCTTTTTCAATTTTGAAGGAATAAATGGAAGCTTATTTTACTTTGAAAAGAATATCTTCATTGTATTGGTAATTATCACTTATAATTGCTTTAAACAAAATGACTTACTATGTGGCAGAAAGTGCTTAAACATTCTACGCACGGTTTCCACAATCGAGAAACAGTTGCAATTTAGCAAACTTACCAATGGGAAAAGTGAAATCACATGTGGAAACACTTCCCAACATCCATGAATTAGGAAGTGAACCCTAAAAATATTTAACATATTTAAAAAAAACTAATGGGAATGTAAAAATGCAAATTGTTAAGGTAAATAGAGATTTGTTTGGGTCAGGACCTTTGCAAAAAGCACAAGATCTTTGTGAAAAACAAAAGTGATATTTATCACACACTATGGTTTGTGACAAAATCTGGGAAATGTTCATTTTTAAAGATAAAATGTATCTGTGGTTATGTAAGTTAATTCTTTCAACACTAAACTCACTTGAAATGATCCAAGGATCAACCTAATTTTAAAGCATTTTTCTCAATGAACTGTCCCTAATACACATTCCCTATAAAGAAAAAGTATTCTTTTAATAAGATACACACTTTGTAAAACTGTAACTATATATACTACCTGAATGTTTTTGTGTAGCATATAAGTTATACATTTTATCTCCTGTAAGGAGTTAAGTGTAAAAAATGTTTCAAGGAATTAACAAGCATTTAATTTCTTGGGATGTTCCTTTTTAAAATATTTTGTATCATTGTTTCAAAATATTGGAAAACCCCTTAAAACACTCTGTTCCTTGTTTAGTTACAGTAGTTATTTCTGTGCCATATAGATGTGTATGGATGGTTTAATGCAGATGAACTTTTTAAGTGGCTACTTAGATTTTTGTTTTTAAACATTCAGGGCTGCTGAAGAACATTCCACTCTTAAAAAGAAATTTAAAAGTAGAAATTCTTTGCATTTTGTGATTATTTTTAAGATACATGACTAGATTTTGAGATAGGCCTTTTTATCAGTCATTAAGAAATTACCTGAAGATTTGAGGCTCTTTTTGTTCTTTGCCCTATTCCATAACCTTTGCGGGTTTAAAATTAGATTTTGCATACATTGAGCAAAGTTGAGTACTTGGAGTATTTATTTTGCTAATGTGCCTATCTGCAGTATAAATCAGCTGTGTCTTTGCTTCCAGCTATAGTCAACCTCATTACAGATACCTATTACATTCCTTCCTCCATACAGTAATGAGACCTCTTGCTGCAGTCTGGTCTTCGGCGCTGAATTTAGTTTAAAAGTCTAGCAGGCTTTATGGGCTGCAAGCTCTAACTTCTTTCCCCTTCAGATGGTTTAGCCAGTTAAGAAAATGCTAATTGAACACTGCTAATAATTTTTTAAAGGCATGTATAAATTACCTGAGAATAATGGCCTCATGGTGAGTCACAAACTAGCCTCAAAAAATATTTTTCTTTTCAAGTAGAGGAAAAGTATGTTTTTACAGGACATTTTTTTAAAAATCAGAATTCTCTATTGAACTCAGTGCTAAATTATTCTTTTTCCAGAACCCTAAACATCAACAACAAATGTGGAGCTTTTTAGCAAATGCTGCATTTGTTGATGTTCTAACAGTAAATTATTTCCGGGGACACAGACTTGAAGATGTTTTGTTCTCACACTCAACTGTGCGCGTTTAACAAAGAGCTGATGTGCAGCTGTCATTGTGTCTGTTGGAACTGATTTGTTGCCATCACTCCATCTGTAAGTTGACAAAAAGCAGTTACGAGTCAGTAATATCCAGGCGAGCACAGAGAACCTGAGTAATTATTGGGAATTACTTTTCACCCCAACCACCCAAAAAATGGAAGGTAGCAACGTTGCTGTATGTTGGTTTCTCATTCCTGTATAGCTATTTATTTGATCAGGTGTGAATTAGAGTTCTTCATTAAACATAGTTGTTACTCGGCACAAGAGGGTAAGGGGAGACGGAGGAAGTGGCTGCCTACAACAGTAATTAAACATGTGTAACCAATTAGAGGGTTTTCCACTATGGCACAAGCATATAATTTGCTAAGTCTTCTATGAGAATAGATGAAAATAGGTACAAAAAGTGTGTCTGACTACAACATTCTCATGTTAAACATGTCAACATAAATGAACTTTAAATATATAATTTCTAGTTTGTTAACAAACCACTGAATTCTATTGGCTAATAACAGTAACATGTAATTTTAGTTCATTTTGCCAAGAAATATTGCATCTGACAGAGCCAATTAATTGTATTACACATGATGCATTTTAGGCCTAGACTGTATTGATTTGGCAAAGTCTAAAATGTAGAAGTGTACCCTATCTGGAAGAAAGTACAAGGGTGGGGGGGGGGGAACTGCTCTGTCGCTCTGAGTTGGCGGAGATTGTTTTTCTGAGCTGATGTAAGAAACGCTTATGTTTCCTTTGTTACATTCACAAATGAGAGCATTTAGCCAAAATTGCCTACATAAAGTAAATGCCCATTGGCTCAGAGGTTCTGTAAGTAACCTTACCTTAAATCTGGAATGTCTCCGCGCTGCGTAAAGATGAGAAATCCGCGTGGTGGGGACCACACCGGCCACAGCGCGGCCCCCTGTCAGGTGTTGATGTGAGTTTGAAAGGTTACAGATTAGTTTAGCAATGTTAAGTGAACTGGCAAAGGCATCTCTAATTTTGCTGGAAATGAGGAAGCCGGATGGTAAAGGGGAATCCTAATGAGCCCATCGAAAGCCGGCTTTGTACTCAACAGACAGGGTAGCCGCAGATTGTATGAAAATATTGGAAATCAATGGCTTCTATGGAATTTCATTAAGAAGCAGGATCCACAATTGATAGGGCCTCATAATTTGATGGATTGGGCTAAGAAAATGATTAGCTAGCTAGAAAGAGTCATAGAATACGCACGCTGGGACGTCAGAAATGTCGAAGTGGGGTAATTTGTACAAAATAAAAAATATTGATTTTACTCGTGCAAAATTTTGAGACGGAGGGCGGGCGCCGAGCCCCGGCTGACTCACTCTCTTGGTCTTGCAGCCGCCCCGGGGGAAGGTGCGGAGGACGCAGACAGCGGGCCCGAGAGCCGCAGCGGGGGCGAGGAGACCAGCGTGTGCGAGAAATGCTGCGCCGAGTTCTTCAAGTGGGCGGACTTCCTGGAGCACCAGCGGAGCTGCACCAAGCTCCCGCCCGTGCTGATCGTGCACGAGGACGCGCCCGCGCCGCCCCCCGAGGACTTCCCCGAGCCTTCGCCCGCCAGCTCCCCCAGCGAGCGCGCCGAAAGCGAGGCGGCCGAGGAGGCGGGTGCGGAGGGCGCGGAGGGCGAGGCCAGGCCGGTGGAGAAGGAGGCCGAGCCCATGGACGCGGAACCCGCGGGGGACACGCGCGCGCCCCGGCCCCCGCCTGCGGCCCCTGCACCCCCAACGCCCGCCTACGGCGCGCCCAGCACCAACGTGACCCTGGAGGCGCTGCTGAGCACCAAGGTGGCGGTGGCGCAGTTCTCGCAGGGCGCGCGCGCGGCAGGCGGCTCGGGAGCAGGTGGAGGCGTGGCAGCTGCAGCCGTGCCCCTGATCCTGGAACAGCTCATGGCCCTGCAGCAGCAGCAGATCCACCAGCTGCAGCTCATCGAGCAGATCCGCAGCCAGGTGGCCCTCATGCAGCGCCCGCCGCCGCGGCCCTCACTCAGCCCCGCGGCCGCCCCGAGCGCACCGGGCCCGGCCCCCAGCCAGCTGCCCGGGCTGGCCGCGCTCCCGCTGTCGGCCGGGGCCCCTGCCGCCGCCATCGCGGGCTCGGGCCCCGCCGCCCCGGCCGCCTTCGAGGGCGCGCAGCCGCTGTCCCGGCCCGAGTCTGGCGCCAGCACCCCCGGCGGCCCTGCGGAGCCCAGCGCGCCCGCCGCCCCCAGCGCCGCCCCTGCCCCCGCTGCCCCCGCCCCGGCGCCAGCGCCGCAGAGCGCAGCCTCGTCGCAGCCGCAGAGCGCATCCACGCCGCCTGCCCTGGCCCCGGGGTCCCTGCTGGGTGCGGCGCCCGGCCTGCCAAGTCCGCTTCTACCTCAGACTTCCGCCAGCGGCGTCATCTTCCCCAACCCGCTGGTCAGCATCGCGGCCACGGCCAACGCTCTGGACCCGCTGTCCGCGCTCATGAAGCACCGCAAGGGCAAGCCGCCCAATGTGTCGGTGTTCGAGCCCAAAGCCAGCGCCGAGGACCCGTTCTTCAAGCACAAATGCCGCTTCTGCGCCAAGGTCTTCGGCAGCGACAGCGCGCTCCAGATCCACCTGCGCTCGCACACAGGCGAGCGGCCCTTCAAGTGCAACATCTGCGGGAACCGCTTCTCCACCAAAGGCAACCTGAAGGTGCACTTCCAGAGGCACAAGGAGAAGTACCCCCACATCCAGATGAACCCTTACCCGGTCCCCGAGTACCTGGACAACGTGCCCACCTGCTCGGGCATCCCCTACGGCATGTCGCTGCCCCCCGAGAAGCCCGTGACCACCTGGCTGGACAGCAAGCCCGTGCTGCCCACCGTGCCCACGTCCGTGGGGCTGCAACTGCCGCCCACTGTCCCTGGCGCGCACGGCTACGCCGACTCTCCCAGCGCCACCCCAGCCAGCCGCTCCCCGCAGAGGCCCTCGCCCGCCTCCAGCGAGTGCGCCTCCTTGTCCCCAGGCCTCAACCACGTGGAGTCCGGCGTGTCGGCCACCGCCGAGTCCCCACAGTCGCTCCTCGGCGGGCCGCCCCTCACTAAAGCCGAGCCCGTCAGCCTGCCCTGCACCAACGCCAGGGCCGGGGACGCTCCCGTGGGCGCGCAGGCTAGCGCTGCACCCACATCGGTGGACGGCGCACCCACGAGCCTCGGCAGCCCCGGGCTGCCCGCCGTCTCCGAGCAGTTCAAGGCCCAGTTTCCGTTCGGGGGGCTGCTAGACTCGATGCAAACGTCGGAAACCTCGAAGCTGCAGCAGCTGGTGGAGAACATCGACAAGAAGATGACGGACCCGAACCAGTGCGTCATCTGCCACCGGGTGCTGAGCTGCCAGAGCGCGCTGAAGATGCACTACCGGACGCACACGGGGGAGCGGCCGTTCAAGTGCAAGATCTGCGGCCGCGCCTTCACCACCAAGGGCAACCTCAAGACGCACTTCGGCGTGCACCGTGCAAAGCCGCCCCTGCGCGTGCAGCACTCCTGCCCCATCTGCCAGAAGAAGTTCACCAACGCCGTGGTCCTGCAGCAGCACATCCGCATGCACATGGGCGGCCAGATCCCCAACACGCCGCTGCCGGAGGGCTTCCAGGATGCCATGGACTCCGAGCTGGCCTACGACGACAAGAACGCGGAGACCCTGAGCAGCTACGATGACGACATGGACGAGAACTCCATGGAGGACGACGCTGAGCTGAAGGACGCGGCCACCGACCCGGCCAAGCCACTCCTGTCCTACGCGGGGTCCTGCCCGCCCTCCCCGCCCTCGGTCATCTCCAGCATTGCCGCCCTGGAGAACCAGATGAAGATGATCGACTCGGTCATGAGCTGCCAGCAGCTGACCGGCCTCAAGTCCGTGGAGAACGGGTCCGGGGAGAGTGACCGCCTGAGCAACGACTCCTCGTCGGCCGTGGGCGACCTGGAGAGCCGCAGCGCGGGCAGCCCCGCCCTGTCCGAGTCCTCGTCCTCGCAGGCCCTGTCGCCGGCCCCCAGCAATGGTGAGAGCTTCCGCTCCAAGTCCCCGGGCCTGGGCGCCCCGGAGGAGCCCCAGGAAATCCCGCTCAAGACCGAGAGGCCGGACAGCCCAGCCGCCGCCCCGGGCAGCGGAGGCGCCCCTGGCCGCGCGGGCATCAAGGAGGAGGCGCCCTTCAGCCTGCTGTTCCTGAGCAGGGAGCGGGGTAAGTGTCCCAGCACTGTGTGTGGTGTCTGTGGCAAGCCTTTTGCTTGCAAGAGCGCGTTGGAAATCCACTACCGCAGCCATACTAAGGAGCGGCCATTCGTCTGCGCGCTCTGCAGGCGAGGGTGCTCCACTATGGGTAATTTAAAACAGCACTTACTGACACACAGATTGAAAGAGCTGCCTTCTCAGTTATTTGACCCCAACTTTGCTCTAGGTCCCAGCCAAAGCACTCCTAGCCTGATCTCCAGCGCCGCACCCACCATGATCAAAATGGAAGTGAACGGTCACGGCAAGGCCATGGCGCTGGGCGAGGGTCCCCCGCTGCCCGCGGGCGTCCAGGTCCCCGCCGGGCCTCAGACAGTGATGGGCCCGGGCCTGGCGCCCATGCTGGCCCCCCCACCGCGCCGGACGCCCAAGCAGCACAACTGCCAGTCGTGCGGGAAGACCTTCTCCTCGGCCAGCGCCCTGCAGATCCATGAGCGCACGCACACCGGCGAGAAGCCGTTCGGCTGCACCATCTGCGGCCGGGCCTTCACCACTAAGGGCAACCTCAAGGTAAGAGCATGGCAGGCTCCAGCCCCGGCTGCGGTGCGGCCGAGCCACGGTGGCTTTCTCCATCACCTGCCGCAGACACAGCGGCCGAGGTCCTGCTCCTATCCTGGCCAGGGGGGTGAGATGCCACGCCTGTGGGTGTGTGTGCGTGATGTGTGCGTGTTATAGGGTGTGATATGTGTGTGTCGGGTGTGCGTGTGGGTGAGTAGCGTGTACCTATGTGTGTGCAGGTGTGTATGGGTCGTGTGTGTGTGCATGTGTAGGTGCCCTATGTGTGGGTGTATGTAATGTATCCATATATTTATAACGTGCGTGTGCAAATGTGCATGTCGTGTGTGGTGTCTGGCATGCCTGTGTGTCCCTGTGCACACACACTGAGACTACATCCTGTTAATCCGCTGTGGGGGGAACAGGAGCCTGGGCCTCTCCCGGGGAACACGTGCAGCTGGGCCTCTGATGCCTTCAGCCAGGTTAGGCATTCCTTAGGGGTGAGAATGCTCACTTTGCAACTTGGTAGGCAGGTCCAGGGCCTGAAGCCCTCTTGAATCTGATAGAAAATAAACTTGGTTTTAAAACTCACATGTAATACAAGCAGTACCAAGGCGAGGCCACTCAGCAGGCCCTGTCGTTCTGTCCGTGTGGCTGCCAAAAGGGCCCATGGGAGGGGCGCTGGGTGAGAAGCTCCTGGCGTGGGGCAGAGGAGCCAGCGCTGTGCAGTGTTCCTGTATGAGATCGCAGCAGCAGCGGTAGAGCGGGTGTGTGACGAGTACTGGGTGGCTCAGGCCTGTGCCTTGTGCTGTGTTGACTGATGGCTGCTTTCTGTCGTCTGTGAAGTGCACGTTTGCAAAGCCAGCCTGTCTGGGTTCCGGCAGCCTCTTCAGACAGCCCAAAGATCGATGCCTGTGGTTTCTACCTGGCGTGCGTGGGCTGGATAAGAACTGCCCGCAGGGCCTGCTGGCAGGTGGCCCTGGGATGTTCTAGAATTAATGTTTCTTTGTTTGAGAGAAAGCAAGAGGAGAGGGGCACAGTCAGAGAGTCCCAGCAGCAGAAGATGCAAAGTGGGGGACAGTAGAGGTCAGAAGGGAGCCAGGGCTTGGGCAAGTGAAGGAGCAAGACCCGGACCCTTCGAGCTCCAGAACATTCTCTGCGTGGCCATGTGGGTTTTACACCTTAGGAGAAAATTACTCGAAAGTTTGTCAACTGAAAGACCGCACTCATTAATTTATATTTGTTGGTTTTGCTTATTGTATTCAATAAAACAAGATGTTTGCATGTAGAAATATAAAGTGCCCAGAAAAGTCCACCTGTGTTTTGTTGTCCGTAAGTCGCGCTTGGGAGCGGGGTGGACCTCTGTCTGCTGCGCTGGAAGCGGAGCAGCTCTGCCTCCGTGTCTAGGCACTTACTCGTGGGCTGTCTCCGTGTCTCGCGCAGGTGCACATGGGGACACACATGTGGAATAACGCCCCCGCGAGACGCGGCCGCCGCCTGTCTGTGGAGAACCCCATGGCTCTCCTAGGGGGTGATGCCCTGAAGTTCTCTGAAATGTTCCAGAAGGACCTGGCAGCTCGGGCAATGAACGTCGACCCCAGTTTTTGGAACCAGTATGCTGCAGCCATCACTAACGGGCTCGCCATGAAGAACAACGAGATCTCCGTCATCCAGAACGGCGGCATCCCCCAGCTCCCCGTGAGTCTTGGGGGCAGCGCCCTCCCCCCTCTGGGCAGCATGGCCAGTGGGATGGACAAAGCACGCACTGGCAGTAGCCCACCCATCGTCAGCTTGGACAAAGCGAGCTCAGAAACAGCAGCCAGCCGCCCATTCACGCGGTTTATCGAGGATAACAAGGAGATTGGTATCAACTAGCCAGTGACTCGCTCATCTGCCCTGCCCAGGCCCACGTTTTGAAGTTGGAGCATCAGGCCTCCGACCTTTCTTGCCTCGGTTCTCATTACACTTTCACCCATAGCAGAAAACACTTTGTGCGGCTGCCGAGAGGTGGTCTTGTAAGCGCTGCATGGCGCTCCCTTCAACAGCAAGCCTGACTGTTCTCGAGAACTCTGCAATCTTTTAAATAAGCTTCCTTCAAAAAAAAAAGTGCTTGGAAAACCGCCTTAGGAACAGAAAGAGCTCAGACCATGTCCACTTCCTTTCTCCTGAAACCTAATAATCTCTCCGAGGGAGAAAGGGGTTCTCTGCGGTATTCCAGTGAAACTCATTTGATGGTTTCTTTTGAATTAGTTAGACACTTGAACGGTGTTTTTTAGAACTCTTCATGTTAAAGACGTGGTTTAGTACTCCCAATGCTGTGTATCATGACACTATCTTCGTCTGTAGTATTTATGATGTTAAGATAATGCGGGTAACAGACAATATAATAGCCCCGACCTTAAACGAAGCTTTTGTACTGCAGAATACATCTGGCTGTGTGATTTTTTTTTTTAAGCAAGATTTGTTTTACTATAAATAAGTGGATTATTTCAATGCAGGCAAAATTGTGAAGTTCTGTTGGGAAAGATAGCATGCTTTTCGTGTGCAAGTACCTGTCAGTAATAAGCCTTTTTTTTTTTTTTTTTTAATTTAAATGTTTGTAGCTGCTATGTGGACAGTTGTTTTCTAGTGTGGTCTGTAGCCCAATAACTGGGGAACGAGTTACAGACAAACATCACCGTAAATGACTCACAACATTATAAACAGTTGTGAGAAAATATTTCACATTATCAAAGCTGTACAATAAAAAGGTAATGTTTGTATAATGTGGTTGCAAACTCTTAATTTATACTATTGCACTTTTAGTATTTTGTATTAGGGAGGTTTGTCTATAATTTGAAAATTTAAAAAAATGTAAAGTATTTTATAAATAGTACTTCAGTTTAAGGAAAATGGGAAAACTGTTACAGTTCCTTGTTTTGTCTTATGGTCAAACAATATTAGAAATCTCTGCCACTTGAAAAGCCACCAAGACTTGTCAGCTTTTCAGTAAAGTAGGGCCTGCCGTTTCTTAAATTAAAATGATTTATTTAACTTTTCCACAAAGCCCACTTTAAAACTGTGACCGCCCCCTAACGAAACCTTGGTGAATTCATCCTAGGACTATGACGTCAGTACAAGCCAGGAAGGAACTAGGATAACCTTCTGCAGGTCTGATTTTCATGTAAGCGGGTCTGTCTCTCTCTCTCACCCACAGACAAGATTGTGGCTGCCTGGTGGCACTGGTCACATGTACAGTAAACCCAAGAGAAATGGCAAGTATCAGGCAGTACAATCAGTCATGACTTTGAAATTTTCCGAGTTCCTGATTTATTTATTATCTTCTCAGATGAAAGCAAAGCACAGTGTCCTCTGATTTTTCAGAACACAGCCTGACGCTGATGGCTGAGCTGCATCCAGCCAGGAGGGCCCCGGAGGCTGGGGCGGCCGAGGCAGCACAAACACGGCGTCGTGAACTACCTCATTTTCGTGCGTTGCAAGTGTGCTGGCGTCTGACACTATGAACTTCCAACAACAAAATTGTTCAAGAGATGCTCTGGTAGCTGGGTAACTGCAAGGAGTTGCATGCCCCTGAAGAAAGAATCAGACAGTGAAGTCTTCTCGGTCGAGACAGAAAAATAGAACAATCTTCTCCTAACAACCACAGCAGCATCAACAATCATTGTAAGAGGATGGGCTGTTTGTGCCAGCGTGTCACTAAACAAAAAGTATCAAAGACTCATTAGCTGTTTATTTCTATTGGAAATCAACACTGAACTCTACAGCTCTGTTTTCCACGGTGATGAGATGTAACTTCGCCCCACCATGCCACCTCTTCTCACGGGATGAGGGCTCGGGGTGTCTCAAGCATTAGGCAGAGAAAACTGAGGTGGCTTAAGGTCACTGTGTTTCAGCAGTTGAATGTTTTCATTATTTATCTGTGTCCTTTTTGGTGTGTGTGTGTGTGTGGTTTTTTTGTTTGTTTGTTTTTGGTTAGTATTTGGTACCATATAGTGTTCTCTCTTCTCCCAAAAGGATGTGTATATAACTAAAGAGAAATGTAAAGTGTTGTAAATAAGATGGCTCATGAAGGTACAGTGAGACTGACCCTCCTGTGTGCAGGGCTAGGCCATCCCTCTGCATGGTGAAGAGAGACACTATTTTTATACTGTAATGCCATGCGGGGCTGGGACCTCTCTGAGCAGCTGGGGATTGTTACCTAGACCCAATATTTTTTATTATTAAATCTTGTGGCTTGACACATCTGCTGACTGAAATGGATGTCTTAGTCTAGGTTACTATTTTTGTCATATGGAATTGAATAAAATGCAGGATGTAATGTTATTTCTGAGTTGCATTCCTTGATTTTTCTAATGGAGAAAGTGGAATTTGAGGAGGTCATTTGTGGTGGGTGTGTATCCGTGGTATTTCCACCAGGAACGTCAACACAGCTTGGCAGCTTAGATTTAAGCAGTGTCTCAGTGCATCTTGATTGGTCTTGAAATTTTTGTTTTTTGCTTTTTTCCAAAATAAAAATTCAGCCTCCTAGTTGTGGATTCTTTTTACATCTGTGATGGAAGAAGATGTGGTAGAAAATTCCTACATATCAGAGACTCCGCAGTGCCCAAAAGTGACCACTCGGAATTGCCTTCCCGTTGTCAGCATGAAGTGAAAATACCGGCTTTTCAGGTCGCTTGAACAAATAGATGTGCATCAAATCACATGACAGGACAGGAGTGGGTGGGACGGTGCTTACAGTGTGGCAGCAGCAGCAGCTTTGTGAGCTCATGGTGGCAGCTCCACACAGCTTAATTCCAGATGGAGAACGTCCTTAATTTAAAATAAGCTTTACTTCACTGATAACGGTTGATAAGAATGATTTTATAGCTCCTGGATTTCAAGATATGTAATCAATTTCTTCTTTTTCTTTTTTTTTTTTTTTTTAATTTTTAAAATGAATAACTACTGATAACCTAGAAGCTACAGTAATTTTTACCTGGGACGTGCCAGGTGGATTTTAAGGAATGATAAAGGTACTAACCACTAAACTAACCAATCCAGGCCAACCTTCCAGCAGATATTATAAGCCTTAGAAATCAAACCATGTAGATTTCAATGCTAGAATAGAAATTATAAAATGTAAACTGACTAGTAAATTCAATTTTTTTAAAGTAAGGAATTAGCAAAAAATGTACAGCCATCTAAAGTAATTAATATAAACTAACATGCAGGAGAGAAGGGATTTACTACTTGTATTTCAAAAATACTTCCAGAGGTAAGATCAGAGGTGTTTGGCTTGGCAAGCCTGGGTGTTTGCTGCTTTCTCATGCCAACTGTGGTGATGTAGACTGTGTATCAAAGAATCATAAATGCCAACAATCCCTAAAAATTATTTAAATACATTTCTAGGTTCATTACAGGAAACATTAACATTTAAGCTAATTAATAAGTACTACTAAAGGGCTAAAAAGCAATTGTCTTCCAGCTCTCGCTGTTTAATTTTGGCCCCATGGAAGCTCGGAGGCATGGAGCCCCTACCTGCTTTTCTGCGTTTGGCAGGCGTTGCCCAGTCCCCATCTTGTGTTTTACGAAGCCACAGTGAACATCAGGGCCATTTCTTTATTGCTAGGCTGCATGTATGTTTCCAGCCCAACCAGCTTCAAATCCCTGTATTCACTGTGGCTGTTTGTCTAACGCCGCAGACGTCCAGACCTCTCATCTTTCTGGTGCACGCGTGAAGCTGGAGACCGTGCTGCACATGTGTCATTCTCGCCCAGCCTGTCACCCGCCAGCTCACCGCCAACCTGAGGGCCCCGTGTTCAGGCCTTTGTGTTACAACCTTGTGCTCATTTGCTAATTACTGAGACAGGGAGCCAGTACTTGTTTATTCCTTTGAAAAGTTTCTTAGGACACAGTGCTTCATTGAAAAAAAGAGGGCATGAAGCGTTTATACCGGCAGGTGCTTCATTGAAAAAAAGAGGGCATGAAGCATTTATACCGGCAGACCTGTTTGCTGCTTTTTAGCTGTGTTAAAACTTGGTCTACAAAATATTCTATATAACATGAGGAAGGAAATGACATTCCCCTTTTTCATTTAAGAAGGAAATATTGGGCATTAATTCTCAGTATTCTTTATGAAGTGAAAACTTTAAAATGAAATCACAATAGAGGCTTTTTTTTGTTTTTTGTCTTTCTCCTTTCAGCATTTCTGTACCAAGCGAGGCTTGGGGCGTGACCTCGTCCTCCCTGCATCGTCCTGGCTGGTACAATCCACGCTGGGACCCGGGGAGAGGGCCCTACTTGGAGAGGGTTCTCATTCCTCCTGTGCCATGTAAAATCTGCTTTCCCATCTGTAGGAAGAGGGTAGAATTTGATGACATTCAAATCCTTTTCAGTTGTAAAATTCCATGTTTTTTTTTTTAAAGAACTACCACTAATGTACATCTTTCTCTTTACCCAAAAATAATCATGAAAAAAATTGATGGTATTTATATAGAGAGAGAAAATATGAGTTATTACCTAAAAATATTCTCCCATAGATATGAAAAATCAATTACAAATAAATTTGCTAAAGAAACTACATGGAATCATTTTTGGATCATGAAAAATGTGTTTGTATCTTTTATAAGAAAAAGCCATTGAACTTATTGATGTTAAAAATGCAACTATACTTGGTAAAATAAAATCAAGCTGTGAACTGATGCTTACTGCATATTCTGTTAGATAAGAGGTGTTAGAAACATATTTGATTTTTCCATGAGTCCTGCACACAAGTACACGCACAGCCCCTTATTACAGCACTATATATTCAAAAGAGTATGCAATTGAAAACAATGTGGTTTTTTTTCTTGTTGTTCCTTAGTAGAATATCAGAGAGCCTAAACTATGAACATTGGTGTTACTGTCCTGATTTCTACCACCGTCTGCATCTTTGGCCTGTTTTCATTGGAAGTATCATAGATTGTCATTTGGACAGACCATTCCTAGCGAATACTGGCCTTTCGCGGAGCTTGGAAAACCCTGTGGGAAAATCAGAAAGCTGGTAAGATAAGAGGAAGAAGAGATGTCACGGTGTCAGATTATGTTTGTATTCTGTTCTGTCCAAAGTTCTTTACATCAGTAAATGAAAAACAAAACAAATGATGCATAGGCCACGCCCTGCAGTGAAAGATGCAAGAACTTGTTCATATTGGTATGAATCGTTCACTGTATATGATTCAAACATGTGGAAATAAATGTTTGATTACAGTCGTTCCAAATGTGATTATTTGTGAACATGGGAAATGGGTAACCCTTCCCCCATACTTTCTAAGTTGGTATGATGCACCTATTTTAAATTACAGAATGATCTATAAACTAGAATTTTTACAGAAAAGTGTAAATTATTTCCTTCATTCCTCGTGGTTATTTTAGGTATGACTAATTCCATTTTGTGTTCCTTCTAGCTTAATTAAAGAACATCTGAATTTTAATGCCAATACCTTTTTACAAATAGGGATAAAATATCTAAATGACAAAATCATTTTTATAACTGACAAGGTCTTTTAATGTTTCTGTTATTTGATTTTTTTTCTCTTTGCCGTATCAAGGACGGTTTAAGAACAGCTCCCGTTGTGACCTCAATTTACCCAGAAGAAACATGCCTGCCCCCCGTCACGCCGCTGCTGCAGCAGAACAAGCAGGCCTGGAAAAACATTTTCCATGTCAAATGGTGACAGTCTCATGAATACACAATTAGAAAGTGTAGAAAGACTTCCCCACACATTGAGATCATTTAAGGAAGATTTTGCACATAAGCCTCTCACCCTTGTTTGTTTTTCTTTGTGATTTTTAGTAACAGAGCATCACACTCCACCATGAAATACAGCTGACAGGTCTGTGGAACTGCACAGCTTCAGCCTACTTAAAATGTTAGGTTTGGAACCATCAAGAAAAATTTTGCAACCCAGACCCTTTATATTTGGGATTCTTAAAAATCCTACTGGTAATTCAAGAGCTGGGTACTGTTAAAGCATATTCTTCTAAAGATAAACAATGCAGTTATTATTGGCCATTATAGACACATGCTGAGTAGTAAGTTGAATAATCAGCCTATAATTTCACCCAAGAAACTACTAGATCTTTATTTATTATTGAGAAATAGAGTGCATAAACCTCAGATGTTAATTCGGGACTGTAGGTAATTTGGGCAAATGAACTTTTATTAATAAATATTTGTAAGTAATTAGTTTTTCCCAAGCAAAACTCTAAACATATTCTCATCTCAGAACATGTTATAGGATCTGAAAATAAAATCTAACCTGTTGTTGAAGTTAATGAATCCCCCACCTCATTCATTCGGCACGAATTCCTTGCCTAAAGACCCTGTGTATGTATTCACGTGTGCGTTGCCGTCTCTCACTGAGAAGTTATCTCATGGCTTGGTTACTCTGTTCTTTCAATTTATGTTTTAACCTTGACACTGCCACCTCCATCACCGTCTGCTGAAGAGTAGCTGTAGACCAAGTTTTAAATTACAACAATAATGTGGTTATTTTCAAGGATGGTCCCTGAGACCAAGCTCTGAACCCAATAACCTTTTCCTTCCACTGGCCTGAATTAGTCTTAGTTTTAGAAACACTCAGTTGTCTCTGAAAAACTGAAAATCATGGCTAGACTTAGTATTTAGCTGAAGGCAAACTGAAGATTTTCTCAAAAGCCCTGAAAAGGGGACCTGACAGAGGAGTTCGTGTCCTCACGTCCTCCCTGGGCTCGGGTGTCAACTTGGCACAAACCAACCATTGTCAGTGGGCTCAGACCTTGTCCTGGTGGGTGCACAGCAAATTCACGAGTGCACGTGGTGCCCTCCATACGTAGGCATCGGTACACCAGCTGAAAAGTGTGTGTGTGAGACAGACCACACGTGTTTGCTGCCTGCCTTAGGGATCGATGCCTATTGCTCCAGGATCGATCTGATCGCAACCACAAATACTAAAGGATTGGCCAAGTCAAAGCTCAATTTGCCCACAGTGTGTGGCTGATGGAATCTAACTCGATTGGCTCTGGGAGTGTTAAATGAATAATTATAAGCCACATAAAAGTAATAAATGCATGGAAATAATATTTGTAACCACAGGGGCAAAAAGCATCACCACACCCAGATAGCTCATCTTTGAAGGAACCAGAAGGAGAACATGGGCATCAGAAGGTCTTGCAGAAAGGGGGTATTTCCTGCCTTTTGATAAAAGTTCACTTCAAAAAAGCTTCTTAACTCCCAATCTTTATCTTGCAAAATTGTTCAGAACTACTTTTAATTATTTTAACCTTCATTATAATATTTAATCGAAATTTCTACTTTATTATAAGCTGTGTGGACAAGAAAGAGTGACTATTTGAAGTAACAATCAACTGTCTAAGAGGAGGTGCACTTAGCTCAGCAAATGTCCAATTGTCCAGAATAACAAGTTAAACTTTTTAAGTAGAAAATAATGCTGAGCTTAATTATTTTATTAATGCATACTCCCTGACATCAGAAAATCCTAGCTTTTCTAAACTTCACAGACACAGATGAAACATTTGACATATGTTTGCAAGGCTGGCTTAATTATTATTATATTAGAAAATATTCAATACAAAAATTAGCCGAGCCTGTAATCCCAGCTACTCAGGAGGCTGAGGCAGGAGAATTGCTTGAACTCGGGAGCAGAGGTTGCCGTGAGCTGCGATCACACCACTGCACTCCAGCCTGGGTCACAGGGTGAGACTCCATCTCAGAAAAAAAAAAAAAAAGAAAAAAAATTCTCTATTTCACAAGCATTTAAATAATTGTGTGTTTGATATTACTCGTGTTTCCCATGCTTTTGTAATTAGAGAGATGGAGCTTTTCTCTTGATGTGTTGGAATTCCATCCGCAGAAGGCTACGTGTTGCAGAGACACTTCTGGAATACTCAATTCACTGATGCGAATATAACCCGTTACTTGGTCCTTCAGGATGAGGCACCAGCCACAGGATTCCTTACCCAGTGGGGCAACTTCCTCCATGGCTTTTTCTTTTTTTTTTAGACGGAGTTTCGCTCTTGTTGCCCTGGCTGGAGTGCAATGGCACAATCTCAGCTCACTGCAACCTCCGCCCCCCAAGTTCAAGCGATTCTCCTGCCTCAGCCTCCCAAGTAGCTGGGACTACAGGGATGAGCCACCACACCCTGCTAATTTTTTGGGGTTTTTTTTTTGTTTTGTTTTTTGTTTTTAAGTAGAGACAGGGTTTAAGATGTGGCAGAATAAGTCCTCTGGCAACACGAACGCCAGGCTTCCTGAAGCCACAGGTGAGGGGAAGGAGCCTGCCGGGTGGGCAGCCGTTTCTCGGGCTGTGCTGTGGCCTGCGCCGGGCCTGGCTTCGAGGCCGAGTTCCGATCCAGTGGCGAGCTAGCAGGGGTCGGTCCGCTTTTGACAGTCCCTTCTTAGGTAAGTCCCCGAGTCTCGCAGCGGCCTTGCTTCTTCACGAGCGCTCACGCATGTGTCTCCGCACGAAGCCACGGAGGCCGGCGGAGCAGAGGGAAGTCAGCAGACGCTCCTGAGTCCCCTCCCCAGGCTTTCTGGGGACCGGGACTCTGGGGCAGAGCTCCGAGCCCTGGGCCAGCCCCGAAAGCAGATGCCCCTGCAGCCCACGTGCAGCCCTCAGTGACCCCGACCCCAAGGCTCTCGTGGGGGTGGAGGGCGCGTGGGCTCCGGAGGCGTCGAGCACCGGCCAGGGCGGAGGGCAGCTCCTCCCCTCCCAGGTGCGCAGCCGTCGCGCCGCAGGGAAGCCTGTGACCTCGGCTGTCGGTGCCAGGATGGTTCCTGCAGGCGTGTCCGGGGTGAGCCCTCACTCTGGCTGCAGAGCCCGTTCGATCCAGGCCCTGCGCCGCGACATGGAATGAACCGCGGGGGACCGAGGCGCCGCCCTGGGAGGGAAGACCCGGCCCTGGGAGCGGGGCCCATCCTCGGGGCCCAGGGCGAGCACTGCGCAGGGACGGCCTCTGCCACCCCCAGGCATGTCCCCTGGCCGGCACGATGGCTCCTCGCCAACTGTAAAGGCAACGCTGCCTCCAGACCGCCAGAATTTCGGCCACAGTCAGCACCCGATGAGCCCCGCGGGGCAGCGTGCGGCCGTGGCTTCTCACCGTGCTGCGGGGCTGCGGGTCCCGGGTGGGCCCATTGCCCGGTCACACTCGGATCTTGGAATAAAATGTGGGCGTCCATGTGAGGCCGAAGCAGTGGCTGTGACGCCCCACGCGGGGTGCGATCTCTGCGGGAGCCGGCCGCACGCTGACCCGGGCCCGCCCTTCTGTGCTGACCCGGAGCCGCCGGCCTCCCTGGGATGTCATTTTAGCACGTGAGGCTCAACCTCTTTTCCGTTCGGTCCCACACGGCACCAGGTTGCGACTCACGGTTGTATTTTAAATAACGTCTCTCTCCTGTTCCAGTTCCACAGGCTCAGGAGGCTGTCCCCGCACGCAGGTCTGGGCACCCAGGCCACTGCTGAGCCCTTCCTTTTGGGGGGACACAGAATCACAGCAAAACTCTCCCGTGGCGCGGTCACCCCAACAGCTCCACGTGGGGGTCAAGTCTGAAGGGTCAGCCTCCTAAGCCCTAGGCTAGTCAGCTGTGATGACCCAATGGGACTGCGGAGTTGGGTCCAGAATTAACCTAACAGTTAAAGGTACACCTCACAGCTTAGAGGGAAGGGTTCCCGCAGGAAACTTGGCCCACCTCTCTGCAGGCCCATCGGATCAGAATGTCCAAGGGCAGCCCACGTGTTGATCAGTGTGAGGCCAGGATTTAAAACCGCTGGTCTGCACTGGACTTAGTGCTGTGACATCGGCACAGGGCCCTGGCCATGCGTCAGATGCAGATTCCAGTTCTCCAGGTCTGGGTGGGGCTGGGACTCTGTAAGTCTGACAAGATCCCAGGCGGCTGGTACAGCTGCTTCTGGTCTTGGGACCACTTTAAGGAAGCTTTGAACAGTGCTTAAAGAGGGAGCTGGCCCTGTGCTGTGATGAAGTAGAAGTATGTCTCCAGTGCTGCCCAAGGCACCCAGTGTCCTTATGTCCTTTTATCCGAGGCCCTTGTTCTATCAGTAAAGTTTGCATTTGACTACAAAGAATGGAAACCCCATATCATAGCTTCAGTCGGAGTTTGTTTTTCTCACATAACTCGAAGTCCAGAGCGAGGGGGTTGCTGGGGATGACTCAGCACCTCACGGACACCCCCACAGGCATTAGTGTGTGGGTTGTTCTCACGCTGCTCCCCACGTGACCACAGGATGGCTGCTGCAGACCCAGCCATTGCATTCACGCTCCCTCAGAAAGAGAAAAGAACGAGGGCACCAGGCCTGGAAGCCAATCCTATCTCTTGATCAGAAGAGTGAAAGCTTTTCTGGAAAAACCCCATTCAGCTGACTTCTGCTTAGGTTTCTTGGACCTACACTGTGTCCTGGGGCGACTCCCAGCTGAGAAGTGAGCCAGAAAGGCTCACTATCAAAAGAAAAAGAGCAAAAGAAAAAGAGGAGAGGTAGAAGAGATTAAAACTTCTGGCAGATTGGCTTCCCAGAAGCCGAACTTCTGTAAAGTTTGAAGAATATTTCTGCATTTATAACACTCATATCAGTTCATCAACAAATATTTACTGGACACTTGTTACGTGCAAGGCTTTGCGGCTGGCTCCACTAAGGTGAGAACCTATATATGTTCCCACAGATTACACACAAGGCGTTGAATTGAACGCCCGATTCTATTCAATGGAGGAGAAGAGTCGTCGGCCATGCAGTGGCTCATCCTGGGGCCCTCTGGCTTCCTGCCCTGAGCCTCTGTGCCGCCAGCCTCACGCATGCCTGGCCAACAGGACCTGTTCAGCCCTCTCCATGCTGCCCGAGGCTGCTTCCTGCCAACCCCGTGAACTAAGTGGGTTAGTGGGCATCATGCTAATCCTAGACGGCCTGGGCTCTGATCAGAGAGTCCTCTGTTTAGTTTCTAGCTTTTACTCGCACAGCTTTTACCCACAGGCCGTTGCCTGTGCTCTCTGAATCTCAAAAGCGGGGTTTGTGAAGTGGAACCCAGGGGTCCGCCTTGCCGGGCTTCTGAAACGGTCACCAGCCTGACGCCATCCATTCCTGAGGGCTCCCTCTGCCCAGAATGCCTCCCCCGGCTCTTTCAGGCACCCATCCCTCCTAAAGGGAACCATCGGCCATGTGTAAGCGGAGCAACGAGGAGACCAGATCCGCAGTCCAGAGATACTGCTCCAGCAACCCGGTCAATGTGTGGGAGGGAAGCGGGCGGTGGGCTCTGCACCGTCCATGGCTGGCTCCGGGCGACTTCCAGCAGAGCCAGCTAAGTGAGGCAGCCTGAGGCATGGGGCCAGGGCACAGCACCCCACAGACTCCAGACCCCGACCCCAAAGTTAGGGCTGAGGCTCAGCCTCGCCAGGGGGCCAGGGGATGCTGCAGCCTTTGGGGGAGTTAAATTTGATAATGGGGGTAGAGTGAAGCCATCACACTCTGAGCTCTGATGCAGATAGCCACAGGCAGGCCCAGGACTGGAGCCAGGACCAGCAGGACAAAGCCACTCCAGTGGCCTGTCTGCAGGGTGAAGGGGCCACTGGGCCACCTTTCGCTCCAGAAAGCGATATGCGAGGTGGTTGCAAACGGTCCCGCTTCTGGATGATGCTCCCGCCACTCCCTGGCCTGTGTCTGCACACTGTCCATGTATTCCATCTTCCTCATCAGAGGAGCCCGCGTGGCCCACTGCGGGATACTCACCTTGCCAACCGCTGTGGGCCAGGGTCGTGTTAACACCCGAGAGATGCTTCGGACGCAGGCCTGCGTGTTAGTTGAATTATCCTACGCGTGATTATGTGAATTGTGTATCACAAGGGAAATATATGTACGTTCTCACCTTCGTGGAGGCAGCCGCAAAGCCTTGCCCGTAACAAGGGTCCAATGAATAGTTGTTGATAAGCTGATATTTGTGTTATAAATGCAGAAATATTCTCTGAATTTCACAGAAATCTGGCTGAAGAGGGAAGCCAGTCCACCAGGGAACTTTAATCTCTTCCACCTCTCCTCTTTCTCTTCTTTTAATAGTAATTATTGACAGGGAATGCTGAATGGTTTTCTGCGGTCACATTCCCGTGTTCAGTTTAATGATATGGGGAACTGCAGATGGAGGTGAGGATAACTTGAAAAGAAAGGGTATTATTGGTAAATGCGCTGGAAGCCTTGCAAATTTGAGAGGATAAATTGAAATTTTACAGGACTAATGAGTTTTTGAAAACTGTTAGCCAGGCTTGTCCAAACCTTTCTCTCCCTATTTAAGATTTTCTAAATTAGAAACTCAGAAATTTCAGTAGCTGTTTTGGTCCTGGAATGAATAAACAGCCCAAGTAGATGGTGTGTTTCCATTTGTTAAACGTACACTGTATCTTGCTTCCATTGTAATCATAGAGCATTATTCTTACTGCAATTAATAGTCTGTTCAGAGCACCTGCTTTGTGGAGCCAAGATCTAGATACTTTGCAACCATCGCTGGAATTCAGCTGTCAACAGGGACTGAATTCTAGGCATTTACATTTAATTTTCATATGCACTATGGTATCCTGGAACATTTCCATATGAACCTAAAATTAAAATTTGAAGCAAATGCAATATATTTCTGAAATCATTCTTGGTTCTAGGAGTTTATAACCCAGTGGTTATTAGAATCTTGAGTCTGATTCTTGGGCTTAAGCCTTAGTGTCAAATTTGAATTTGGATTCATCATTGAATTGTCACGGACCTACAGCCACATTTAAAAATCTTTGAATCCAAAGGGTTGCTTGTAACGGTGAACCTTTATACACTTTGAGCTGTGAAAGTGACCTTTATTTTTATTACTATCATCAACCATTTCATCGGATGCCACTGTCAACTGGCTTAAATATTATTTGCCTCAGTGTATGTAAGCCCTAGGGAATTGTTATCCCCATTCATCAGCTGAGATTGTATTTTACTTAGCATTTATATCCTTCCATTATGTAACATTATGTAGCTGAATGTAAGGAATATGCTAACTATCCTTAAATATAATTTTCCTCCTAAGCAGATCATATGAGATTATTCTGCCTCTTGCAAAAACTCCTCTGTTAAATATTTTATCTCATTGCCTAGAAATATTCTTAAATATGATACAGATAAATCAAAAAAATTAAGTTGCTCACAGTTTTATTGGCAATAATGTGAGAAATAATTATAAATTCTAAGTTGTGGGGTTTTTGCTGTTGTGGTTTATTTATTTGTTTCCCATATCAAAATTTACAGCGATATTTTATTAACATGTTAGAAATCTTTCAGACTACCAATAAAACTTTAATCCATATCATCGTTTCCTATTGACTTTAAAGCTAGAGTAATTTATCCTGAAATTTTTATCTATCATCTTCAGAATAAGCGGTTTGTATAGATGTCGCTGTCTCTCTTTTCAACTGAAACTGCACCCTCGTTCTGTTACATTTGTGATGAAAGAGAGTTAAGGGTTTCTAGCTAAGTGGCAGTTTTCAAAATGTGGGTCACAGCTCATTTGTGGGTCATGAGATCAGCTTAGCGGCTCTAAACCAGTCTTGTGGGGTTTTTTTTTTTTTGTTTTTTTCTTTTTTAATGAAAGAAAATCGAGTAGGAAGTGTCAGGCTTTGCGGCAAATTGAAAGCGTGAGTCCCGGTTGATGTTCCTGCATGGGTGTGGCTGGGCTGTCCATGTGAAGTGGGTCATGACCAAACCGTTTGAAAAACATCGCTGTATGGATGCATCTTTTCCTTTGCGTCTTTCTTTTCTTTTCTCTCTTCTGCTTTGAGCCATCACCTTGCTTAGGAAGGATTCACGGCTCGGGGTATGAAGCTGACGTCAGATTGCCAGGATTCAGATTTGAGCTCTGTCATTTCCCTCATCTGGGAAATGGGCATAAGGACACTGCCAGCTTCACAGACTCCTTGTGCGGGTGACACTCGTGGAAGGGAGCCGCGTGCCGGGTGACAGCGGCATAGTCAACAGCAGATCACACGTTCCCCGCTGGGCCCATCAGATCACAGTGGAGCTGGAAACTCCCCATTGCCTGGTGATGCTGGGACCGCCGCATGTAGCACAAAGGGTGACTCACATGTGTGTGGAGATGCTGGTGTACACAAGCAGACTGCACTGCCGGTCTGTGAAAGTCCAGCACACACAGCTGTGTCCAGTACATGATGCTCCATAGTCATAATAAAAAGCATTGTTCTGCTTTATGTACTTACTATACTTTTTATTGTTATTTTAGAGTGTTCCTTCTACTTACGTATGTCTATATAAAAAGGTAACCGGAAAACGGCTTCAGGCAGGTCCACCAGGAAGTGTCCAGCATAAGGCATTGTTGTCACAGGAGAGGACAGCTCCGTGCGTGTTATGGCCCCAGGAGACCTCCCAGTGGGATGAGATGTGGAGGCAGAGGCCATGATACTGATGATCCTGACCCTGTATAGGCCAAGGCTAATGTGTGTGTTTGTGTCTTAGTTTTTAACAAAAAATTTGAAAACTTTAAAAAAAATTAACTAGAAAAAAGCCGATAGAATAAGGATATAAAGAAAGGAAATATTTTTGTACAGCTGTACAATGTGTTTATCTTTTAAGCTGTTATTACAAGCTCCAAAAAGTGTTTTTAAATTAAAAAGTTTATAAAGTAAAAATGTTACAGTAAGCTAAAGTTTATCTAATGAGCTGAGCGTAGCCTAAGTGTGCAGTGTTTATAAAGTCTACAGCCACGTCCACACCCTCACTCACAACTCACCCAAGGCAGCCCCCAGTCCTGCAGGCCGTGTTCATGGTCCGTGCCCTATGCAGTGTATCATTTTTTATCCTATCTACGGTTTTTACTGCACCTTTTCCACATTTAGGTATGTTTAGGTGCATAATACTTACCATTGTGTTACAATTGCCTGCAGTACTCAGTTCAGGCAGTGCATGTCTGCAGCCCTGGGCCATGGGCCATGCTTGCAGCCTTGGTGTGTATAGGCTGCACTGCCCAGGTTTGGGTAAGGACACTCTGTGTTGACCCCACAAGGACAAATCGCCTAATGACCGATTTGTCAGAACACACCCTCATTATTAAGTGATGCCTGACTCTTTATGAAGTGCTCAGAGCAGTGGTTGTTATATAGTATTACATAAATGTTAGTGATAACTTTATGCAACTCTTGAATCATCTATTGCACCAATATTTGCTAAGTTTCTTTTTTCATTGTTTCTCAATTTTTTTTACCATTTGCTCCATCCCTTAATTATGTGTCCTTCTTTCAACATTTTATGTTTTGGGTTTGGTTTCTAGACAAACATTTATATCCCTTCATATTAAAATTGTTTATATGGAAATAAAAATATTTGCAGTTCCAGATATAAAGGTTTATAAGGTATTATATAGTAAGTAACTCTCAATTGAATTTAAATCTATTGGAATAACTTAAGGAGGTTTTCAATTATGAAGAATTCCCTGAATGCATGTATCACTAGTACAATATGGTGAAGGGTTTTAATCACACTGGTTTTGAATACAACAGTGAAGAGTTTTACTCACACTGGTTTTGAATACAGTGGTGAAAGGTTTTAATCCCACTGGTTTTGAATCATGAATGTACTTGGGGAAGGGTCATAAATGACTTGGTAAGAAAATGATGAAATGCAACAATTTTTAAGGTGAGACACATGTAAGAATGAACATTGGGATCTTTTCTTGAGGTTTCTGGAGGGTTATTTATAATTCATACAGGAAAGGGCAGGTATAGCTATTCCAAAGAAATAGAAAAACAAGGTGTAACCATCCAACCAGAGATGGTACAAAATTCCAAAAATAAATCACTGATTTTAAGAAAAGCGAAAATAAAGGGGAGGATTGTTACTCTCGGTAGTTCTGTCCTGCAAAAATGTTTAAGCTTTAAGAAGACAAACACAATCAAAACCATAATTTTGCACCCTTAACCAAGCAGAAAGCTGGAGGATTGCATTGAACACTCACAGGTGAGTGTCCTATCCCCATAAATGACTCTGGCTTCTGATACGGGGTCTTTTTAGCCATGGAGAAGGGAAGGTATCACAATCTGGACGCCAAAGAATTAAAAACAGAATAATGTTGGAGGAGATATAAAATTGAGGAATCACCATCACTATACACAGCACAGCTCCCAAGTAAACAATTGTCTGGGCAAATATGTACTTTTGATACTTCTGAAAACCCAGGAGAAGCACTTTCTGTAAATTGTGAAAGAATGTGTGTGCTGTTTGCCTATACACACAGCATTTCCCACCCAAAGCTTTCTTTCCCTTTGTGCTGTAAATCCAGCTCAGTGCTGAAGAAGTCACTTCCACAGCCAAGATAAAATATTTATCTTCAGCAAAAAGGGCATAAACAATTGTTGAGGAAAATATACAATAAGTTCTTAAATGTCTGCATAATTGAAGCACTTAGGTGTGTTTTGGGTAATAGAAATAATAGCAGAACCAAAACTCTTTTTATAAAGGTAACATTTTTCTTAAATGCCGAAAGCAAACTCTTGAAGTCCCATCAGCCTAGCGACAGTGAGAACCTTCCCGGGCTCCGGGACCCATGGCAGGAATGTGAAACTGTGCCAGGGCGAAGGACTTTCAACAGAAAGAAACACGCTGCTGAGGCAGCTGAACAGAGACTTTTAACACAGGAAATGGTAACTCCATTTGCTCCAGATGCAGCGGGACAGACATCTGCCAGGCCCTGAGTTATGCCAGAGCATCTCCCGTGGAATGGACCAGGGTATGCCTGCCACCTGCCCGACGGGTATTTGGTTCAAAGGCCACATTAGAAATGAACACCTAATTAATTGGATTTGGAAAAACCTGAGAAATCAAACACACTGCATGACCGGGTGTGTGATCAGCCCCCTCCTTACTACTTAAATCAAACACACTGCATGACCGGGTGTGTGATCAGCCCCCTCCTTACTACTTAAATCAAACACACTGCATGACCGGGTGTGTGATCAGCCCCCTCCTTACTACTTAAATCAAACACACTGCATGACCGGGTGTGGGATCAGTCCCCTCCTTACTACTTAAATCAAACACACTGCATGACCGGGTGTGTGATCAGCCCCCTCCTTACTACTTAAATCAAACACACTGCATGACCGGGTGTGGGATCAGTCCCCTCCTTACTACTTAAATCAAACACACTGCATGACCGGGTGTGGGATCAGTCCCCTCCTTACTACTTAAATCAAACACACTGCATGACCGGGTGTGGGATCAGCCCCCTCCTTACTACTTAAATCAAACACACTGCATGACCGGGTGTGGGATCAGTCCCCTCCTTACTACTTAAATCAAACACACTGCATGACCGGGTGTGGGATCAGTCCCCTCCTTACTACTTAAATCAAACACACTGCATGACCGGGTGTGTGATCAGCCCCCTCCTTACTACTTAAATCAAACACACTGCATGACCGGGTGTGTGATCAGCCCCCTCCTTACTACTTAAATCAAACACACTGCATGACCGGGTGTGTGATCAGCCCCCTCCTTACTACTTAAATCAAACACACTGCATGACCGGGTGTGTGATCAGCCCCCTCCTTACTACTTAAATCAAACACACTGCATGACCGGGTGTGTGATCAGTCCCCTCCTTACTACTTAAATCAAACACACTCCATGACCGGGTGTGTGATCAGCCCCCTCCTTACTACTTAAATCAAACACACTGCATGACCGGGTGTGTGATCAGCCCCCTCCTTACTACTTAAATCAAACACACTCCATGACCGGGTGTGTGATCAGTCCCCCCCTCCTTACTACTTAAATCAAACACACTCCATGACCGGGTGTGTGATCAGCCCCCTCCTTACTACTTAAATCAAACACACTGCATGACCGGGTGTGTGATCAGCCCCCTCCTTACTACTTAAATCAAACACACTCCATGACCGGGTGTGGGATCAGTCCCCTCCTTACTACTTAAATCAAACACACTCCATGACCGGGTGTGTGATCAGCCCCCTCCTTACTACTTAAATCAAACACACTGCATGACCGGGTGTGTGATCAGCCCCCTCCTTACTACTTAAATCAAACACACTGCATGACCGGGTGTGTGATCAGTCCCCTCCTTACTACTTAAATCAAACACACTGCATGACCGGGTGTGGGATCAGCCCCCTCCTTACTACTTAAATCAAACACACTGCATGACCGGGTGTGTGATCAGCCCCCTCCTTACTACTTAAATCAAACACACTGCATGACCGGGTGTGTGATCAGTCCCCTCCTTACTACTTAAATCAAACACACTGCATGACCGGGTGTGTGATCAGCCCCCTCCTTACTACTTAAATCAAACACACTGCATGACCGGGTGTGTGATCAGCCCCCTCCTTACTACTTAAATCAAACACACTGCATGACCGGGTGTGTGATCAGCCCCCTCCTTACTACTTAAATCAAACACACTGCATGACCGGGTGTGTGATCAGCCCCCTCCTTACTACTTAAATCAAACACACTGCATGACCGGGTGTGTGATCAGTCCCCTCCTTACTACTTAAATCAAACACACTCCATGACCGGGTGTGTGATCAGCCCCCTCCTTACTACTTAAATCAAACACACTGCATGACCGGGTGTGTGATCAGCCCCCTCCTTACTACTTAAATCAAACACACTCCATGACCGGGTGTGTGATCAGCCCCCTCCTTACTACTTAAATCAAACACACTCCATGACCGGGTGTGGGATCAGTCCCCCCCTCCTTACTACTTAAATCAAACACACTCCATGACCGGGTGTGTGATCAGCCCCCTCCTTACTACTTAAATCAAACACACTGCATGACCGGGTGTGTGATCAGCCCCCTCCTTACTACTTAAATCAAAGACACTCCATGACCGGGTGTGTGATCAGTCCCCCCCTCCTTACTACTTAAATCAAACACACTGCATGACCGGGTGTGTGATCAGCCCCCTCCTTACTACTTAAATCAAACACACTGCATGACCGGGTGTGTGATCAGCCCCCTCCTTACTACTTAAATCAAACACACTCCATGACCGGGTGTGTGATCAGTCCCCCCCTCCTTACTACTTAAATCAAACACACTCCATGACCGGGTGTGTGATCAGCCCCCTCCTTACTACTTAAATCAAACACACTGCATGACCGGGTGTGTGATCAGCCCCCTCCTTACTACTTAAATCAAACACACTCCATGACCGGGTGTGGGATCAGTCCCCTCCTTACTACTTAAATCAAACACACTCCATGACCGGGTGTGTGATCAGTCCCCTCCTTACTACTTAAATCAAACACACTGCATGACCGGGTGTGTGATCAGTCCCCTCCTTACTACTTAAATCAAACACACTCCATGACCGGGTGTGTGATCAGCCCCCTCCTTACTACTTAAATCAAACACACTGCATGACCGGGTGTGTGATCAGCCCCCTCCTTACTACTTAAATCAAACACACTGCATGACCGGGTGTGTGATCAGTCCCCTCCTTACTACTTAAATCAAACACACTGCATGACCGGGTGTGGGATCAGTCCCCTCCTTACTACTTAAATCAAACACACTCCATGACCGGGTGTGGGATCAGTCCCCTCCTTACTACTTAAATCAAAGACACCTCATGACCGGGTGTGGGATCAGCCCCCTCCTTACTACTTAAATCAAACACACTGCATGACCGGGTGTGTGATCAGCCCCCTCCTTACTACTTAAATCAAACACACTCCATGACCGGGTGTGGGATCAGTCCCCTCCTTACTACTTAAATCAAACACACTCCATGACCGGGTGTGTGATCAGCCCCCTCCTTACTACTTAAATCAAACACACTGCATGACCGGGTGTGTGATCAGCCCCCTCCTTACTACTTAAATCAAACACACTGCATGACCGGGTGTGTGATCAGTCCCCTCCTTACTACTTAAATCAAACACACTCCATGACCGGGTGTGTGATCAGCCCCCTCCTTACTACTTAAATCAAACACACTGCATGACCGGGTGTGTGATCAGCCCCCTCCTTACTACTTAAATCAAACACACTCCATGACCGGGTGTGTGATCAGTCCCCTCCTTACTACTTAAATCAAACACACTCCATGACCGGGTGTGTGATCAGCCCCCTCCTTACTACTTAAATCAAACACACTCCATGACCGAATGTGTGATCAGCCCCCTCCTTACTACTTAAATCAAACACACTGCATGACCGGGTGTGGGATCAGTCCCCTCCTTACTACTTAAATCAAACACACTGCATGACCGGGTGTGTGATCAGTCCCCCCCTCCTTACTACTTAAATCAAACACACTGCATGACCGGGTGTGGGATCAGTCCCCTCCTTACTACTTAAATCAAACACACTCCATGACCGGGTGTGGGATCAGTCCCCTCCTTACTACTTAAATCAAACACACTCCATGACCGGGTGTGTGATCAGTCCCCTCCTTACTACTTAAATCAAACACACTGCATGACCGGGTGTGTGATCAGCCCCCTCCTTACTACTTAAATCAAACACACTGCATGACCGGGTGTGTGATCAGCCCCCTCCTTACTACTTAAATCAAACACACTGCATGACCGGGTGTGGGATCAGTCCCCTCCTTACTACTTAAATCAAAGACACCTCATGACCGGGTGTGTGATCAGTCCCCTCCTTACTACTTAAATCAAACACACTCCATGACCGGGTGTGTGATCAGCCCCCTCCTTACTACTTAAATCAAACACACTGCATGACCGGGTGTGGGATCAGTCCCCTCCTTACTACTTAAATCAAACACACTGCATGACCGGGTGTGGGATCAGTCCCCTCCTTACTACTTAAATCAAACACACTGCATGACCGGGTGTGTGATCAGTCCCCTCCTTACTACTTAAATCAAACACACTGCATGACCGGGTGTGTGATCAGCCCCCTCCTTACTACTTAAATCAAACACACTCCATGACCGGGTGTGTGATCAGCCCCCTCCTTACTACTTAAATCAAACACACTGCATGACCGGGTGTGGGATCAGTCCCCTCCTTACTACTTAAATCAAACACACTCCATGACCGGGTGTGTGATCAGCCCCCTCCTTACTACTTAAATCAAACACACTGCATGACCGGGTGTGGGATCAGTCCCCTCCTTACTACTTAAATCAAACACACTGCATGACCGGGTGTGGGATCAGCCCCCTCCTTACTACTTAAATCAAACACACTGCATGACCGGGTGTGTGATCAGTCCCCTCCTTACTACTTAAATCAAACACACTCCATGACCGGGTGTGGGATCAGTCCCCTCCTTACTACTTAAATCAAACACACTCCATGACCGGGTGTGTGATCAGCCCCCTCCTTACTACTTAAATCAAACACACTGCATGACCGGGTGTGTGATCAGCCCCCTCCTTACTACTTAAATCAAACACACTGCATGACCGGGTGTGTGATCAGCCCCCTCCTTACTACTTAAATCAAACACACTCCATGACCGGGTGTGTGATCAGTCCCCTCCTTACTACTTAAATCAAACACACTGCATGACCGGGTGTGTGATCAGCCCCCTCCTTACTACTTAAATCAAACACACTCCATGACCGGGTGTGTGATCAGCCCCCTCCTTACTACTTAAATCAAACACACTGCATGACCGGGTGTGGGATCAGTCCCCTCCTTACTACTTAAATCAAACACACTCCATGACCGGGTGTGTGATCAGCCCCCTCCTTACTACTTAAATCAAACACACTGCATGACCGGGTGTGGGATCAGTCCCCTCCTTACTACTTAAATCAAACACACTGCATGACCGGGTGTGGGATCAGTCCCCTCCTTACTACTTAAATCAAACACACTGCATGACCGGGTGTGGGATCAGCCCCCTCCTTACTACTTAAATCAAACACACTGCATGACCGGGTGTGGGATCAGTCCCCTCCTTACTACTTAAATCAAACACACTGCATGACCGGGTGTGGGATCAGTCCCCTCCTTACTACTTAAATCAAACACACTGCATGACCGGGTGTGTGATCAGCCCCCTCCTTACTACTTAAATCAAACACACCACATGACCGGGTGTGTGATCAGCCCCCTCCTTACTACTTAAATCAAACACACTGCATGACCGGGTGTGGGATCAGCCCCCTCCTTACTACTTAAATCAAACACACTCCATGACCGGGTGTGGGATCAGCCCCCTCCTTACTACTTAAATCAAACACACTGCATGACCGGGTGTGGGATCAGCCCCCTCCTTACTACTTAAATCAAACACACTCCATGACCGGGTGTGGGATCAGTCCCCTCCTTACTACTTAAATCAAACACACTGCATGACCGGGTGTGGGATCAGTCCCCTCCTTACTACTTAAATCAAACACACTGCATGACCGGGTGTGTGATCAGCCCCCTCCTTACTACTTAAATCAAACACACTGCATGACCGGGTGTGGGATCAGCCCCCTCCTTACTACTTAAATCAAACACACTGCATGACCGGGTGTGTGATCAGCCCCCTCCTTACTACTTAAATCAAACACACTGCATGACCGGGTGTGTGATCAGCCCCCTCCTTACTACTTAAATCAAACACACTCCATGACCGGGTGTGTGATCAGTCCCCCTCCTTACTACTTAAATCAAACACACTCCATGACCGGGTGTGTGATCAGCCCCCTCCTTACTACTTAAATCAAACACACTGCATGACCGGGTGTGGGATCAGTCCCCTCCTTACTACTTAAATCAAACACACTCCATGACCGGGTGTGTGATCAGCCCCCTCCTTACTACTTAAATCAAACACACTGCATGACCGGGTGTGGGATCAGTCCCCTCCTTACTACTTAAATCAAACACACTGCATGACCGGGTGTGGGATCAGTCCCCTCCTTACTACTTAAATCAAACACACTGCATGACCGGGTGTGTGATCAGCCCCCTCCTTACTACTTAAATCAAACACACTCCATGACCGGGTGTGGGATCAGCCCCCTCCTTACTACTTAAATCAAACACACTGCATGACCGGGTGTGTGATCAGTCCCCTCCTTACTACTTAAATCAAACACACTGCATGACCGGGTGTGTGATCAGCCCCCTCCTTACTACTTAAATCAAAGACACCTCATGACCGGGTGTGGGATCAGTCCCCTCCTTACTACTTAAATCAAAGACACCTCATGACCGGGTGTGTGATCAGTCCCCTCCTTACTACTTAAATCAAACACACTCCATGACCGGGTGTGTGATCAGCCCCCTCCTTACTACTTAAATCAAACACACTGCATGACCGGGTGTGGGATCAGCCCCCTCCTTACTACTTAAATCAAACACACTGCATGACCGGGTGTGTGATCAGCCCCCTCCTTACTACTTAAATCAAACACACTCCATGACCGGGTGTGTGATCAGTCCCCTCCTTACTACTTAAATCAAACACACCTCATGACCGGGTGTGTGATCAGTCCCCTCCTTACTACTTAAATCCAACACACCTCATGACCGGGTGTGGGATCAGTCCCCTCCTTACTACTTAAATCCAACACACCTCATGACCGGGTGTGGGATCAGTCCCCTCCTTACTACTTAAATCAAACACACCTCATGACCGGGTGTGTGATCAGTCCCCTCCTTACAACTTAAATCAAACACACCACATGACCGGGTGTGGGATCAGTACCTCCCCTCTCCGCTCCGCCTTACTACTTTTCAGAGTATTTGGAGTTATCAGGTCTTTGATCACTCAAGAAATAAAAGAAGCCTCATAATCTCTTGGTTATTAAAAATGTGTGCTTTCAGCTAAGTGCAGTGGCTCACACCTTTAATTCCAGCACTTTGGGAGGCGGAGGTAGGTGGATCACCTGAAGGCGGGAGTTCAAGACCAGCCTGGCCAGCATGGTGAAACCCTGTCTCTACTAAAAATACAAAAATTAGCCAGGCTTGGTGGTGTGCGCCTGTAGTCCCAGCTAGTTGGGAGGCTAAGACAGGAGAATTGCTTGAACCCAGGAGGCAGAGATTGCAGTGAGCCAAGATTGCACCACTGCACTCCAGCCTGGGTGACAGAGCGAGACGCCATCTCAAAAAAAAAAAAAAAAAAAATGAGTGCTTTCAAAGTGGTTGCTGATGCCACTCTCAATGCCAGCATTGCTATGAAGGGAATCTTTTAAGAGGTTTTAATACCAAATCTCCCAGCTTAGGTCTGGATTTGAGTATAAACAGTAACTTAGACAATTTAGTATTTGACATTCCTTTAATTCTAGGGAAAAATCAACAGAATGGCATTTCCCAAAGCAATCTTTGACTAACTTTGAGTTTTAATATTGGCCTAATGAATGTTGAGTGTGTTTTGATCGATGGTTACCATCCCCAGGCACAAAGCCCTGGTGTCAAATGCATTACCCTACTTGCTCCCCACGTAAGTCACAGTGATGCCTATTTTCCAATGTGGTGCCAAAGCAGAAACTGCAGTGAGGGGCAAGACACTGGCCTGGGAATCAACTTATTTTGGAAAACACTGAATGAAAGGTAAGGTTAAGCTGCTTTTCTTTGCTGAAGGAGATCTTAGAGCCTTAAATACACTCATGGACTTATAGCCAAGAAGTTTTAGCTCTCCAAGAGTGGAATGCAGAGTGCACAGTTCCCAAAAATAGTCGACCCCAGAGCTCGTCTTAGGAAACCCTGAACTTTGTGATGACTACAACACTTTGGTGTGGTTGGGTGCCAACACCCAACCATTCCCCACGATTCCCCGGGTGACACTCAGACACTTGAAGCAGGTGAACCTCCCACCACTTCATCAGCTAAGGTGCTGCCTTCCCGGTCTCTCGTTTGTGGGCACCCCCGTGTCCCCCCAGAGTGGCATGTGTAAGTGTCCTGGGGCCGCCATGACAAATGACCACAAGTTGGGGGCTTTCAACACAGAAATTCATCCTCTCACAGTTCTGGGACGAGAAGTCCAAGATCAAGGTGTTTGCAGCCACGCTCCCTCTGGAGCCATGAGGGGGGTCCTTCCTTCCGTCAACCAGCGGCTGGTGGCTCCAAGCACTCCCTGGCATTGGTAGTCGCCTCCGTCCAACCCCCGCCTCCATCTTCACATGGCCATCTCCCCCGATGTGTCTCTGTGTATCCCTTCTTGTCTTATGAGGACACCAGTCACTGGGTTTAGGGTCCACCCTCCCCCACTATGATTTCATCTTAATGAATCACATCTGCAAAGACCCTCTTTCCACATAGGGCCACATTCACAGACTCAGACGGCTCATCCTGGAACTCATCTTTTGGTGGGACACAGCTGAGCCCACAACAGGCCCCTTCTTATATTAGGGCTCCCATTGGTCAGGGCCCTGGCAGGAAGCAGTGGGAGCACAGAAGCCTTTCACAGGAGCGTTCAGTGGCGGACTGCTCACAGAGGGACAGCAGGGCTATGGGAGCCAGTGGCGGCCGAGCCTCCCAGGGACCCAGCAAGAGCGGGGCTTGAGGGTCCTGCCGTCTGGATGGAGCAGTGGGTGGAGCAGAGGACAGAGGCTGACACACACAGTTGCCACCAGACCACACCGCAAGAAGAGATCGAGGGGACGCCACTGAAGCCCCTCCTCCTCCCCCACAGACCTCCTGCCCCCTGTCTCTGGGTCCACTTGGCCCTCAGAGGCCAGTGCGCCTCAGCAGTCAGCTTCCCGGGCATAGCACACGCAGAGGCAGACAATGCACCTGCAGGGACGAGGAGAACAACCAGCACGTCTCGCGCTCCTCAAGCCCAGGCTCTCTCCCTGGGAGTGCTCAAATTCAGGCTCTAAAGCAGAGCTTGCAGAATGGTGGGACGGGCCGACCTCAGCACGCTAGCCCGGATGAGTCCTGCCCACTATGCTCTGCTGTTCTTTTTAATTGGCTGGGTTATGAAATTGTGCCCCATTTACCCCCAAACCCAGATTTCCCACTTCTGCAAAGCAGACTAGATCTGGACCTGTTGGGCCTGCATTCCTGCACCGTCACCCTTGCTTGGAGCTGAGTCTCAGCTGTCCTCTGCACAAGTGCAGGGGTCCCATTTGCCAGTTCTCACCACTTCTGGTGCACCCTGAGTTCATGTGCTGTGGTCTGAATGTCCGTGTCCCTCCAAAATGCATACGCTGGAAGCCAGTCCCTAAGGTGATGGTGCTAGGATGTGGGGCTCCTGGAAGGGACTAGATCACAGGGCGGAACCCTCATAAAAATGTGATTAGGGGCCTTATAAAAGGGCCCGAGGGAGCTCATTCATCCCTTTCACCTCGTGAGACCACTGCCAGAAGGTGCTGGCCATGAGGGATGGTCCCTCACTGGACACCAGATCTTGCCACACTTTGATCTTGGACTTCCAGCCTCCAGAACTGTGAGCAATAGGTTCTGCTGCTTATAAATCACAGTCTCAGGTGTTTTTTTTACAGCACCCTGCACAGATGAAGGCGGTGTGTGCCGACTGTCTCATCGTTTCGCTTGGCCTGTTGCTTTTCCTTTAAGTCAAGTATCCTCACGCCTGGCTGCTTATGATACACTGTCCTTTAAGTCAGGTATCCTCAAGCCTGGCTGCTTACAATGCACTGCTCTGCGGATGTCTGTCTGTGAGTGCTGCTTTTGGGCACAGTGTTGATGTTTTTAGTACGTCAGTAGCTTTGGCTATTTCTGTTCTTATTTCCTGCACAAATAAAAGCAAGTAGGAGTCTCATGTTTTACAGCAATGCCTGCTATGTGGGCTCTGCACCTCTAGCTAAGGGGAGTCTGTAGACACCTGGGTGTTGTCAGGGTGACCTCCAGTCTGCAGCCACCTCTAAGAGTCCCCTCCACTGCAGGTGCCATTCCAGTCTATAATTACTCCCAATCTCTCAGCACCAACCTCTCTCCTAGCAGGAGCTGGGCTTTATTTTTTTTATTTATTTATTTTTATTGAGACGGAGTCTCGCTCTGTCACCCAGGCTGGAGTGCAGTGGCGTGATCTCGGCTCACTGCAACCTCCACCTCCCGGGTTCAAGTGATTCTCCTGCCTCAGCCTCCAAGTGGCTGGGATTACAGGCGCCCGCCACCAAACCTGGCTAATCTGTGTATTTTTAGTAGAGACAGGATTTCACCATGTTGGCCAGGCTGGTCTCGAACTCCTGACCTCAGGTTATCCACCCGACTCGGCCTCCCAAAGTGCTGGGATTACAGGCATGAGCCACTGTGCCTGGCCCCGGAGCTGAGCTTTAAAAACAAACAAAATATTCATATCAGGCTTGAGTTTCATTGTTTAATTTTCATGCTTATTTGTAGTCACCAAAGTATAGACATTTGTCAAACCAAAATGGGTTGTGAAGAGCTGAGCTTCCAAGCTGGAAGCCATGAGCTCACCTCCACATTGGAGCTTCCACCTGAGCACATGCTGCTGCAATTGGAAAGTGGGAATGAGAGCCTAATCCACAAGCGGGCGGCAATCTGGTGACTGTGCACACTCCACTGAGGGGCCAGGCCTTCCGGGCTTAGAAACAGCAGAGACAGCTGACCCCGATTAGAGGGACTGCTGTTATACGCATTCACAGGCACAACCAGGCTCAACACAGCTGCCCCAGGTGGAACACGCCAGGCCAGTCCGGGCTGCTGCCCAGGCTTCTTGGTGTTGTCGCCTGAGGCAAGACCCTTCTGTTCTGGAGTCACACAGCAATTGTCCCCTCCACAGCCCATAATGTCTCTCAATACCTGTCTACTCCAACTGAATCCTGCATGTTTCTTCTTCTTTTATTTGCACTTATATTTCCTCCAAATCCTTTGAGAAACAGACCCTGCCTGCTTGTAATATTACAACATGAAGAGGTTGGGGATTCAGCTCTCTGTTGTACGTAAGTGGCTACAAAAATCCCTCTGTGGCCTTCAGAAAGTTACCTGGTCTTTCTGAATCTGTTTTCCTATCTGGCCAAGGAGGAATAATAACTGTTACTCTACTCGTGCATGCTATTATAAACAACTTCAGAATATCTGAAGATTAGATTGTTATTATTTATACCCAGAACATGTTAGGCACTGCCAAGAACTGGGAAGGAGCTGGGATTTTACCCGTTACAAGCTAAGAGTTGGCCTGCACACGTTCAGGGATGCTGGCAGAAGATACGAGACTCCTGGGTCAGAGAGAAAGGACAGTCTATTACTCACACCACCAGCAGGAGCCAGCACCCCAGCACCTTGCAGCAGTTCCCACGGGGTGTGCGATGAGGACCAGGCAGGGCCTGCAAACTGCTGCAGGGCATGGGAGGAGCCTGGGCTTAGGGCCCCCGAGCCTTTTATAACAGGCACTGAGCTTGCCTGCCCTGTGCCCCAAAGGAAAACATCATTCCTGTCTTCCACGGCTGTGAGCAAGCCTGCCCATGGCTCCTGGGGAGACACTGTCTTCACCTTCCGAGGCTGCTTGCTACATAAACACCCTTGAAAAGATCATCCAGAACAAAGGGAACTCAGTGCCGGCTCAATGTGAGAAATCCTTTCAGAATTGTCTCCCAGAGGGAACTCAACCTGACTCCAAAAATGCCTTCATCTCATAGACAGACTCCACTCGTTTAACAAAATGGGTACAAGCATCTCTAATACAGCGAGATATTAAGTTAAAAAGCAAACTCTGACTTTCATTAGCTAGAAAGATATAGGGCCTTGTATCTAAAAATCTGAATCAATACACAGATTTATGACTCTTCTCCAGCGCATAACCCAAGTGTGATCGTCATGTCCATTTTCTCCTTTCCATTTTCTGTCATGAAACGTAACATGGAAAACCAAAGAAAGGAAAAACGGTGCAGTCACCTCGATGTTGTGGCTAGATTGGCTAAAACTGATATAATAACGGCATTAAAGTATCTCTCGCAAGCGTCATTGCCTAAGTCGCCTTCTCTGAGTGACATTGATGGGAAATTCCTTTCAAATGGATGACTTTTTATGTTGAATTAATTTGGTTTGCAAGAAAAAGACATGGAATCCAACAGCCGGCTGGATCAGGGGCGCGTCTTCAACAGTATCTCTCTCCGGAAAGTGTTGCTCTCCTTTCTATTGTGAAGAAAAATTTCTGCTGGAGGACGGGTGCCCTGTGAGCCGTGGCCACGGCTATGAGCCCACGGACCCACGAGAAAGCCAGTGTGGCTGGGCAGCAGGTCCTGCTCCCCCCGGCCCGTGGCCAGGCAGGTGCGCAGGGGCCGAGTCCTGCCCGTGGCTCCACCCAGCTCCAGCTCCGGGACCCGCGCGGGGAGTCAGGGCAGCGGGTCCTGGGCCGTGGCGCCTCCGTCTGCAGGGACTTCTTGTAATCACCAAGCAGCGCGGTTGTATTCTTCACAGTCCCCCACATTGGCGTGGCTGGAGCCTCCCATTCGAAGCTCAGATCTGGGCACTCACCGAGTATACTAACGTCTCACTAAAAGCTACCAGGGTTATTGATACAAATCAAATTATCCCGAACAATTCTGGTATGTTCCCAGAAAAGTATGGCTAAAAATAACTCAGCCGCCTATCTCTCCCTTGGTAGTAGGTTGCTGGTTTTCCGAATTTTCACTATGAAAAATAAAATACTTGAGGCCTCAAGAGCTGTTTTTAATTAAATTGCCAAGTTTCCCATTGAGGGTTATCTGCAAATTATGCTGCTTTCTTTTTTATGTGAAATGAGCATTGTTCCACGGGCAGCGTTGTGAAACCCAGCCCTGCAGAGGAGCCAGCAGCCTGGCAGGATGTGGACGCTGGAATCCCTGTCACCGTGATTCCACGCAGTATGAACACAGCCGAGTGGAGGGCGGGGCTGCTGGCCTTGGGTGGCTGACCTGGAGACTGGATGCTGTAACTCTGTCACCCTCGGTCAGAGGTAGAAGCACAGAGCCTTTGCTGATGCAGGTGACAATCTATTATCTTCGAGAAACTTGAACTGCTTTGAAGACCGGAAGTGGTTCTATAATTTATTGGATGGTAAGCCCGACCAGAACTAGTGGGGGTATTTATAGTATGTATGTGTGTGTCCTATATATATCCTGTATATGTACACACACAGACACACATATGTATACACACACATACATCTAACATCCTATATATACACATACATATGTATAAATACACATATACACACATAGGTACATACACACAATGTATATACATGCATAGACACACCTATACATGCACATAAACATACACATATATACATGTATACATACACTCGAACATTGGGATATAATTGATAAACCCATCAAAAGTTGAAAATATCGTAAGCTGGGAATGATTTTAATACACCTCACCTACCGAACATTCTGCCTTAGCCTCGCCTACCTTCGACTTGCTCAGAACTCTGACCTAGGCCACAGCTGGGCAAAATCACTCGGCAGCAAAATCACCTGGCAGCATGGTCAGTGCTCGCAGAGAGCAGTGGATCCTGGTGGCACGTGGCTGACTGGGGACTTCAGCTTTCTGCTGCAGAGAGGAGCCTGGGAAAAGACCAAAATCCAAAAGTCAAGGTATTGCTTCTACTGAATATGTATCACTTTCACACCATGGTAAAGGAGAAAAATTGTAAGTTAAGGCCAGGCACCATGGCTGATGCCTGTAATCCCAGAACTTTGGCCAAGAAAGGAGGATCACTTGAGCCCGGGAGTTCGAGACCAGCCTGGGCAATATAGCAAGACCCTGTCTCTACAAAAAAATACAGAAATTAGCTGGGTGTGGCGGCTCACACCTGTAGCCCCAGCTGCATGGAGGCTAAAGTGGGACAATAGATTGAACAGGGAGGTCGTGACTGCAGTGAACCCTGATTGTGCCACTCTGCACTCCAGCTTGGGTGACAGGGCAAGACCCTGTCTCAAAAACAAAACTGTAAGTCGACCCATTGTAAGTTGGGGGCCATCTGTACACACGTGCGTACATATACACACATACATATACACATACATGTATATAAACATATGCATATATGCATATACACACGTGTGTATATACCTACTTACATCAACCTAATGAAGGTGAGTATTTGCTAATGGTGAATATTCGTGTTTCCCTTCAGAAGTATATGACTGACTGTGACTGTGGGACGCTCCCAAGAGCCTCTGAACGTGTTACGTGGGACATGGAATGCACACTGCATTGCCTTTCTCATATTCAAAGTACGCTAGATTTTGGCAAGGTGCGGTGGCTCACGCCTGTAATCTCAGCACTTTGGGAGGCTGAGGCGGGTGGATCACGAGGTCAGGAGATCGAGACCATCCTGGCTAACACGGTGAAACCCCGTCTCTACCAAAAACACAAAAAATTAGCCAGGCGTGGTGGCAGGCACCTGTAGTGCCAGCTACTCAGGAGGCTGAGGCAGGAGAATGGCGTGAACCCGGGAGGTGGAGCTTGCAGTGAGCCGAGATTGCACCACTGCACTCCAGCCTGGGCGACAGAGCAAGACTCCGTCTCCAAAAAAAAAAAGGGTATACTGGATTTCAAAGTGAAAGAATTCAGATTGGGCATGGTGGCTCACGCCTGTAATCCCAGTACTTTGGGAAGCCAAGGTGGGAGGAGTCTAAGAGTTCAAGATCAGCCTGGGCAGCAGGGCGAAATCTCGCCTCTGCAAATAAAATGAAATAAAAATTAGGCGGGCATGGTGGTGCACGCCTGTGGTCCCATTTACTCAGGAGGTTGTGGTGAGAGGATTGCCCGAGCCCAGGAGGTTGAGGCTGCATTGAACTGTGACTGTGCCACTGCACTCCAGCCTAGGCGACAGAGTGAGACTCTGCCTCAAAAGAAAAACAAAAACGAAAAAACCAAAAAGGTGAAAGATTTCAATAAATGGTGGATTATTCCATGTTCACAAATTGTAAGGATTTGGTCTATAGATGGATTCAGTGCAATACGATGGAAATCCAGATTGCTATTTTATAAGTTGACGAGCAGGTTCTAAAATTTGTATGGAAATGCAAAGATTCAAGAACAGCCAAGGCAATCCTGAAGACCAAGTTTGATGCTCACATCACTCAACGCCAAGACGTGACCCTAGTGCCATCGTGCAGGACAGTGTGATTTCAGCGAGACAAAGGACATGTGGGGCAGAATGAAGAGTCGGGAAACACACATACCCACATATGAATACTTGATTTATGACCAATTAACCTTGCAGAGCAGCAAGGGAAGGGTGGTGGTTTTGATCCACGGTGCTGGTCATTGGGATAACCACAGGACAAAACTGGAAACTTGGCCCTTGTGCCACCCCATACCAAAAAAAAAAATTCAACCCCAGGTGAATTGTAGGCCTAAATGTGAAAAGTAAATAATAAAGCTTCTAGAAAATCACATAGGACAAAGTATCTTTATGGGCTCAGTGAAGATTCTTCAAAACAGATTATAAAAAATATTAAAAACAAAAAATTGATCAAAATTAAGATCTTCTGTTAATTAAAAGACACAGTAGAGTGAAAAGACAAGCAGCAGGATGAGCAATGACACGACAAGCACACACCAAAGCACACACCACTGACTTCTGCTTTCAGGAAGGTGAGTGAACACACATTTTCTTCTCCCTCTCACTAAATACAGCTGAAATCCCTGGATATCACATGTAAAACAAACCCAAGAAGACTCTGGAAGGTGGGGAGACAAAAGCAGACAGGTTGGGAGCTCAGGACCTGAGGAATGGGGCAGAGCCTCCCCTAGGTTCTCTCAGACGTGGGGATGAGAAGCTGGTAGCAGAAAAGCCCAGGCACAGACAAAAAAAGGATTAACAAAAGCCTGTATTCTCCAGCCTAAGGGCCAGGAAAGGGGCTACCCAGCATGAGAGAAAATTTTCAGACCATCTACCAGCTACTTCAACGAAATTCTGTCCCTACCCCTAACCACACCTGCAGCCTCCCTCACAAGACTGCAACGAGGATCCCAGTATCCCACCAGTGTGGTTTCAAACAAGGACCTTCCTTCCTGCCAGCTAAAGATGAGGACCCCACCCTGCCGTGGCAGCAGAGAGCATGTGGGGAGCCTGACGTCCACCCCCACTGGCAGCAACAGAGGCCCCCTCCTACTCCATACTAGGAGAGTCTGGACTTTCTCCAGCCCCTAGTGGTGATATGGACAAATACCACCATCACCCCCTACCCATTTCACTCTCCCGCCGCCACCATGGTGCCAGCAGTGATCATGCTGGGAGCCAGGACTGCCACAGCTGTTCAGCATAACAATGACACCCCCCATGCCCCAATCTCAGGCATCAACAGAGGCTGTGTGGGGAACTGGACTCCTGCCCCCACCCGGCAGGAACAAGGGGGCACCTCCACTCCTGTTGCTGGAGTGCTGTCAGAAAAAATCAGTTACAAGAGAAGGTTTAAATAAGATCCAGAGTCTCCTAACATGATGTGAAAGGGTCCAGGTTTCAATCTAAAGTCACTTGTGGCCAGCTGCGGTGGCTCATGCCTGTAATTCCAGCACTTTGAGAGGCCAAAGAGGGTGGGTCACCTGAGGTCAGGACTTTAAGACCAGCCTGGCCAACATGATGAAACCCTGTCTCTACTAAAAAAAAAGAAAAAAAAAAGTACAAAAAATGGCTAGGCATGGTGGCATGTGTCTGTAGTTCCAGCTACTTGGGAAGCCGAGGCAGGAGAATCACTTGAACCTGGGAGGTGGAGGCTACAGTGAGCTGAGATTGGGCCACTGTACTCCAGCCTGGCCAACAGAGTAAGACTCCATCTCAAAAAATAAAAAAATAAAAATAAAGTCACTTGTCACAGCAAGAACCAGGAAAATCTCAAACTATGAGAAAAGGACAATCAACAGAGGCCAAGCTGAGAGGGCAGAGATGTTAAAATCCTGACAATGATTTTATAGCATCCATGATAAAATGCTTCAACAGGCAATTGCAAATATGCTTGAAACAAATGAAAAAAACAAAAAACAAAAAACAGAAAATCTTTTTTTTTTTTTTTTGAGATGGAGTCTTGCTCTGTCGCCAAAGCTGGAGTGCAATGACACAATCTCAGCTCACTGCAACCTCCACTTCCCGGGTTCAAGCAATTCTCCTGCCTCAGCCTCCTGAGTAGCTTGGATTACAGGTGCCCACCACCGTGCCCGGCTAATTTTTGTATTTTTTAAAGATGGGGTTTCACCGTCTTGGTCAGGCTGGTCTCAAACTCCTGACCTCAGGTGATCCACCCACCTCAGCCTCCCAAAGTGCTAGGATTACAGGCGTGAGCCACTGTGCCTGGCAAAAAACAAAAAATCTTGACAAAGAAATAGAAGATATAAAGAAGAATCAAACAAATTTTAGAACTGAAAAATATAAAAGCCAAATAAAAAGCTCAGTCAATGGTCTCAACAGCAAAATGGAGGGTGAAGAAAAAAGAATTAGTAAAATGGAAGATAGAATAAGAGAAATTACCCAACCTGAACAATAAAGACAAAATAGACTGAAAAAAAAGAACCTGAGACACCTGTGAGATGATAAGAAAAGATCTAACACTCCCATCAAGAGAGTACCAGAAGGAAAAGCAAGAGTGGGACTAAAAAAATACTGAAAGAAATAATGGCTGAAAATTTTCTAATTTGATGAGACGACCTACAGATTCAAGAAGCTGGAAAAACCTCAAACAGGGTAAGCCCAAATCCACACTAAGCTATGTCATAATTAAACTTTTGGAAACTAAAGACAAAAAGCTTTGAAAGCAGCCAGAGAAAAACAGAACTTCACTTATAGGAGAAAACAATTTAAATGATAGCAGATTTCTCATCAAAAAACACGGAGGCCTGAAGAAAGCAGCAAAATATTTTTCAGGTGCTGAAAGAAAAGAACCATCAACTCAGAATTCTATTCCCAGCATGAAACCATGACCAAAATCAGTACGATGAATAGATTCATAGCCACAAAAGTTGTTTAACAACCTTTGTAATCATGCCATCCTCCTCCCTCCTCACCCAGTTCTCAATTGCTTATCTTCTCTCTGTTGCTAAATATTCATTTGCATTTACTTGAATTTTATATAAAGGAAATACAGTATTTTTTTAAGGAATCCTGTGCCCAGAAAAAAAATGTTCTTCAGGAACCAAGGGGAAATCAACTTTGTCAGATGAAGATGAACTAAGAAAGTTTGTTGCAAGTCGGCTTACTCTAAAAGAATGGCTAAATGAATTTTTATAAATAGAAATGGAATGACATAAGAAATAACCTTGAATCATCGGGAAGAAAGAACATGGTAAGCCAAAATATGAGTAAATATAATAGGCTTTCATTCTCCTCTTAAGCAAATTATATTCGACTGTTGAAGTAAGTATAACATTGTCTGATGTGGCTGTAAATAGGTAGAGAAGAAATATTTAAGAAAATTACATTATAAATGGTGGATGTTAAAGAGAAGTACTGGCCGGGCATGGCAGCTCACTTGTGTAATCCCAGCACTTTGGGAGGCCCAGGTGGGTGGATCACTTGAGGTCAGGAGTTCAAGACCAGCCTGGCTAACATGGTGAAACCCCATCTCTACTAAAAATACAAAAATTAGCTGGGTGTGGGTGGGTGCCTGTAATCCCAGCTACTTGGGAGGCTGAGGCAGGAGAATCCCCTGAACCTGGGAGGCAGAGGTTGCAGTGAGCCAAGATTGTGCCACTGCACTCCAGCCTGGGTGACAGAGTGAGACTCCATCTCAAAAATAAATAAATAAATAAATAAAAATAAAATAAAGGGATGGCCGGGCACAGTGGCTCATGCTTGTAATCCCAGCACTTTGGGAGGCCAAGGTGAGCAGATCACAAGGTCAGGAGTTCAAGACCAGGCTGGCCAAGATGGTGAAACCCCATCTCTACTAAATACAAAAATTAGCTGGGTGTGGTGGTGGGCACCTGTAATCCCAGCTACTTGGGAGGCTGAAGCATAGAATTGCTTGAACCCAGGAGGTGGAGGTTGCAGTGAGCTGAGATCATGCCACTGCACTCCAGCCTGGGCAACAGAGCAGGACTCCGTCTCAAAAATATAAAAAATAAAAATAAGAAAATAAAGGAATGTACTACTGGGAGATAAGATTGCTATACTCCAACTGAACTGGTAAAATGAGAACACCAATAGACTGTGATCACTAGACATATATAATGTAATACCTAGAGCTGTCACCAAACAAGCTATACAAAGAGATACACTCAAAACATTACAGATAAATCCAAATGGAATTCTACAAAATCCCCATGCCTAAGCACCCACCAATCTGCTCTTTGTTTCTTTGGATTTGCCTATTCTGGAAATATTATACAAATAAATCCATACAATACAAGGCCTTTCACGACTGGCTTCTTTTACTCAGCATAAGTTTTGTCTGCATTGTAGCAGGTACCAGTGCCTCATTCCTTTTCATGGTGAGTAACATTCCACTATGTGGATATACCACATTTTGTAACCCATTCATCAGGATGAACATTTGGGTTGTTTTCACCTTTTGATTATTATTACTAATGCTTCTATACATATTCATGTACAAGTTTTCGTGTGGACATATTTCTTTTCTCATGGGTATATCCCAAGGGGTGGAATAGGTATGTTAAATGATGTCTACATTTCACCCTTTAAGGAACTGCCAGACTGCTTTCCAAAGCAAAGGCACCATTTTGCATTCCCACCAGCAGTATATGTGAGTTCCAATTTCTCTCCATCTTTGCCAACACTTGTTATTGTCTGTCTTTCTCACTGTAGTCATCCTGATGAGTGTAAACTGTTGCCTCATTATGACTTTGATTGGCATTTTCCTAATGGCCAATGTTGAGCATCCTCTCATGTGCATGTTGACCATTTCCACATCTTCTTTGGACAAATGTCTATTCAAGTCTTTTGCCCGTTTGTTATTTGGGTCATTTATCTTCTTATTAGTGAGTTGTAGGGTTCTTTATATTTTCTAGATGCAAATCCCTTGTTAGACATATGGTTTTCAAATATTTCTTTTTCCATTCTGTGGGTTGTGTTTTTGCTTTCTCAATAGCGACCTTTAAAACACGAAAGTTGTAAATTTTGCCATAATTCAATTTTTCCATAGAAATCGTAGAGCTTGAATTTCTTTCATGTTCATTCCTTCCAATCCTATAATTCAACCACATAAATTAGTAAAGGCCCACAGGATAACAGACCTGAGAGAAACAAAACTGGGACTTGGAATTCAGAAAAGTGAGCTGTGATGTGAAAATAATGCCTGGCAGGGCTGGTTGGAATGATCTCTGGGCGACTGACACTTGTCTCTGGGGGCTGAGGCAGTGGCGTTGACGAGTGTGTAGAGGGAGGCAGGAGAGCCGCAGCTGAGTCCGCAGGTGCTCTCTGCTGACAGTGCTGTCCTGGAATGTGCACGGTGAGCACGTGCAGGCATGTAGGCTGTGGTCTGCCACTTGCTGGGTCTGACGGATCTTCAGCAAATGCTTCTCACTCAAGCAATGGTGCCCCCTCACTTCACGCCTCAGCCTACATAAAATTATGAAATGAGATGGGTGAGAATGTGATGATCTCTTCAACTTTTAAATCCCATGGCTGTGTCTGGGACCTTCTGAAGGAAACACAAGTCATCTTCTGTTTAGTTGTCCCAACAGCCACATCCTCATATTCCTAGGTGGCTGAGAGCCAGTGTGAAAAGAATGTGTGCCTAGTTGCCCACATTTCGCATTCCTGAACAATTATTTGTTGACATCATAGGAAGAGCCCAATTTTCATACTTTAATCAACATAATCAAGATTGACAAAAGCAGGTTTCACGATTACTTTTTTTTTTTTTTTGAAATGGAGTCTCACTCTGTTGCCCAGGCTGGAGTGCAGTGGCACGATCTTGGCTCACTGCAACCTCCGCCTCCTGGATTCAAGCGATTCTCCTGCCTTCCGCCTCCTGAGTAGCTGGGATAACAGGCATGCACCACCAGACCCAGCTAATTTTTGTATTTTTAGTAGAGATGGGGTTTCACTATGTTGGTCAGGCTGGTCTCTAACTCCTGACCTCGTGATCCGCCTGCCTCAGCCTCCCAAAGTGCTGGGATTACACAAGTGAGCCACTGTGCCCGGCCAGTACATCTCTTTAACATCCACCATTTATAATGTAATGAGTCTTTATTAACCAGGCACACGTAACCAAGTATTTGGTTAGTGCACAAATAATTTTTGCCAACATAATAAAATATGATGCACGGATGGAGGACAAATCCTGCGATTCCCACATGGTCTGAAATTTCCACTTTGGCCACAGGGCTGACAAAGGTCAACATTTCTGTTTCAAGGCAAAGACTGTTGTCTCATGCCCCAGCTCCAGCCCTGGGCCAGAGGGTTGGGTAGACAACTGTATTAGTCCGTGCTCTCACTGCTATGAAGAACCACCTGAAACTGGGTAATTTATGAAGAAAAGAGGTTTAACTGGCTCATGGTTCCTCAGACTGTACAGGAATCATGGCTGGGGAGGCCTCAGGAAACTTACAGTCATGGCGGAAGGCAAAGAAGAAGCCGGCATGTCTTCACATGGCCGGAGAAGGAGGAAGAGAGTGAAGCGGGAGGTGCCACACACTTTTCAACAACCAGATCTCACAAGAACTCACTCACCATCACAGGAACAGCAAGGGGGAAAGCCACCTCCATGATCCCATCACCTCCTCCCAGGCCCCTCCTCCAACATTGGGGATGACAATTCAACATGAGATTTGGGCGGGGACACACATCCAAACCATATCAACAATGCTGAGCCCCGCCTCCTACCTGGTGAGACCCCGACCCCTGGCAGAGGACCATGCCTTCCTCCCTGCATGTTCTCAGAAAAGAACCCATCATCGTCTTCATTTTAGGGGTTTTTTACAAATTATATGTGTTTCGCCACAAGGGTTTCTGAACTTCACATTTTTATTTTTTACTAGGAAATTAAAAAGAAAAATTTCCCCTTGAAGAACTCCCACTTTTAAAAGTTTTTTCCTTTCAAATTTTGATACTATTCATGTTCATTGTAGAACACATGGCAAATATAAATAAAAATAAAAAGGAGTAAAATCATCCCAAGTCCCACTACTGTTAAATATTTTGGCTAACATTTGTGTGCATTTCTTTCCAGTCTTTCTTGATATATACATTACCTACATATAAACAGATCCCCACGTGACATAATTAGGGCAATATCATGCTGGGCCTAGAGTTTTGTTTCTTGCTTTAGGGGTCTAGTTCTAAAAACATGCACTGCTGTTGGGCCTGTGTTGATTGCTTCTGCGGTGCGTTCTGTGGTGTGGGTATAGATCGAGGTGCTCCCCACGGTTGCCATGATCACACCAGGAAGGTTGTTGTGTTTATATGGGGCTCTGTAATGATGTGATCCTACTACAAGAAGCTAAAATGTGCTTATCCAGCTCCCACTGGGCTGGCCAAAAGGTAAAAATAAAAAAGTGCAGTGATTGCACGGGTTTCTCTGTTTTCGTTTTTTAATTTCTGAAGGCTTTCCATTCCACAAGCACTTATAGGGCTTACCTTATATAATACTTCATACAATATTCGCACTGTTCTAAGAACTTCAGAAATCATGAGTCATTTATTCCTTCTAACAACCTATAAAATTGGGACTATTATTATCCCCATCTTACAGATGAAGAAAGCAAGTGATAAAGAAGTGAAATACTTTGGCTAGGGTCACCAAAGGAGAAAGTGGTGGAGATGAAATTCAAACTCAGGCATCCTGGTTCTAGATTCAGTCCTCATGGCTGCCATGTCTCATAGCCTTCCATGACTCTCACCCTCCACCCAGGCATCCTGGTTCTAGATTCAGTCCTCATGGCTGCCATGTCTCATAGCCTTCCACGACTCTCACCCTCCACCCAGGCATCCTGGTTCTAGATTCAGTCCTCATGGCTGCCATGTCTCATAGCCTTCCATGACTCTCACCCTCCACCCAGGCATCCTGGTTCTAGATTCAGTCCTCATGGCTGCCATGTCTCAGAGCCTTCCACAACTCTCACCCTCCACCCAGGCATCCTGGTTCTAGATTCAGTCCTCATGGCTGCCATGTCTCATAGCCTTCCATGACTCTCACCCTCCACCCAGGCATCCTGGTTCTAGATTCAGTCCTCATGGCTGCCATGTCTCAGAGCCTTCCATGACTCTCACCCTCCACCCAGGCATCCTGGTTCTAGATTCAGTCCTCATGGCTGCCATGTCTCATAGCCTTCCACAACTCTCACCCTCCACCCAGGCATCCTGGTTCTAGATTCAGTCCTCATGGCTGCCATGTCTCATAGCCTTCCACGACTCTCACCCTCCACCCAGGCATCCTGGTTCTAGATTCAGTCCTCATGGCTGCCATGTCTCATAGCCTTCCATGACTCTCACCCTCCACCCAGGCATCCTGGTTCTAGATTCAGTCCTCATGGCTGCCATGTCTCAGAGCCTTCCACAACTCTCACCCTCCACCCAGGCATCCTGGTTCTAGATTCAATCCTCATGGCTGCCATGTCTCATAGCCTTCCATGACTCTCACCCTCCACCCAGGCATCCTGGTTCTAGATTCAGTCCTCATGGCTGCCATGTCTCATAGCCTTCCATGACTCTCACCCTCCACCCAGGCATCCTGGTTCTAGATTCAGTCCTCATGGCTGCCATGTCTCATAGCCTTCCACGACTCTCACCCTCCACCCAGGCATCCTGGTTCTAGATTCAGTCCTCATGGCTGCCATGTCTCATAGCCTTCCATGACTCTCACCCTCCACCCAGGCATCCTGGTTCTAGATTCAGTCCTCATGGCTGCCATGTCTCAGAGCCTTCCACAACTCTCACCCTCCACCCAGGCATCCTGGTTCTAGATTCAGTCCTCATGGCTGCCATGTCTCATAGCCTTCCATGACTCTCACCCTCCACCCAGGCATCCTGGTTCTAGATTCAGTCCTCATGGCTGCCATGTCTCAGAGCCTTCCATGACTCTCACCCTCCACCCAGGCATCCTGGTTCTAGATTCAGTCCTCATGGCTGCCATGTCTCATAGCCTTCCACAACTCTCACCCTCCACCCAGGCATCCTGGTTCTAGATTCAGTCCTCATGGCTGCCATGTCTCATAGCCTTCCACGACTCTCACCCTCCACCCAGGCATCCTGGTTCTAGATTCAGTCCTCATGGCTGCCATGTCTCATAGCCTTCCATGACTCTCACCCTCCACCCAGGCATCCTGGTTCTAGATTCAGTCCTCATGGCTGCCATGTCTCATAGCCTTCCATGACTCTCACCCTCCACCCAGGCATCCTGGTTCTAGATTCAGTCCTCATGGCTGCCATGTCTCAGAGCCTTCCACGACTCTCACCCTCCACCCAGGCATCCTGGTTCTAGATTCAGTCCTCATGGCTGCCATGTCTCATAGCCTTCCACGACTCTCACCCTCCACCCAGGCATCCTGGTTCTAGATTCAGTCCTCATGGCTGCCATGTCTCATAGCCTTCCACGACTCTCACCCTCCACCCAGGCATCCTGGTTCTAGATTCAGTCCTCATGGCTGCCATGTCTCATAGCCTTCCACGACTCTCACCCTCCACCCAGGCATCCTGGTTCTAGATTCAGTCCTCATGGCTGCCATGTCTCATAGCCTTCCACGACTCTCACCCTCCACCCAGGCATCCTGGTTCTAGATTCAGTCCTCAAGGCTGCCATGTCTCAGAGCCTTCCACGACTCTCACCCTCCACCCAGGCATCCTGGTTCTAGATTCAGTCCTCATGGCTGCCATGTCTCATAGCCTTCCATGACTCTCACCCTCCACCCAGGCATCCTGGTTCTAGATTCAGTCCTCATGGCTGCCATGTCTCAGAGCCTTCCATGACTCTCACCCTCCACCCAGGCATCCTGGTTCTAGATTCAGTCCTCATGGCTGCCATGTCTCATAGCCTTCCATGACTCTCACCCTCCACCCAGGCATCCTGGTTCTAGATTCAGTCCTCATGGCTGCCATGTCTCATAGCCTTCCATGACTCTCACCCTCCACCCAGGCATCCTGGTTCTAGATTCAGTCCTCATGGCTGCCATGTCTCATAGCCTTCCATGACTCTCACCCTCCACCCAGGCATCCTGGTTCTAGATTCAGTCCTCAAGGCTGCCATATCTCAGAGCCTTCCACAACTCTCACCCTCCACCCAGGCATCCTGGTTCTAGATTCAGTCCTCATGGCTGCCATGTCTCATAGCCTTCCATGACTCTCACCCTCCACCCAGGCATCCTGGTTCTAGATTCAGTCCTCAAGGCTGCCATATCTCAGAGCCTTCCACAACTCTCACCCTCCACCCAGGCATCCTGGTTCTAGATTCAGTCCTCATGGCTGCCATGTCTCATAGCCTTCCATGACTCTCACCCTCCACCCAGGCATCCTGGTTCTAGATTCAGTCCTCAAGGCTGCCATATCTCAGAGCCTTCCACGACTCTCACCCTCCACCCAGGCATCCTGGTTCTAGATTCAGTCCTCATGGCTGCCATATCTCAGAGCCTTCCACGACTCTCACCCTCCACCCAGGCATCCTGGTTCTAGATTCAGTCCTCATGGTTGCCATATCTCAGAGCCTTTCACAGCTCTCACTCTCCACCCAGGCATCCTGGTTCTAGAAGCAGTCTTCCCCTCTGCAATGTCTCAGAGCCTTCCAGGGGACTGCGACCCTCCACCCAGGCATCCTGGTTCTAGAAGCAGTCCTCCCCTCTGCAATGTCTCAGAGCCTTCCAGGGGACTGTCACCCTCCACCCAGGCATCATGGCTCCAGAAGCATTCCTTATGGCCACCATATCTCAGAGCCTTCCAGGGGACTGTCAGTTTCCACCCAGGCATCCTGGCTCCAGAAGCAGTCCTCCCCTCCGCCATATCTCAGAGCCTTCCAGGGGACTGTCAGTTTCCACCCAGGCATCCTGGCTCCAGAAGCAGTCCTCCCCTCCACCATATCTCAGAGCCTTCCAAGGGACTGCCACCCTCCACCCAGGCATTGTGGTTCCAGAAGCATTCCTCATGGCCACCATATCTCAGAGCCTTCCAGGGGACTGTCAGTTTCCACCCAGGCATCCTGGCTCCAGAGGCAGTCCTCCCCTCCACCATGTCTCAGGCCTTCCAGGGGATGTCACCCTCCACCCAGGCATCGTGGCTCCAGAAGCATTCCTCATAGCCCCCATATCTCAGAGCCTTCCAGGAGACTGTCAGTTTCCACCCAGGCATCCTGGCTCCAGAAGCAGTCTTCCACTCCGCCATGTCTCAGAGCCTTCCAGGGGATGTCACTCTCTATGTTCTTTCCAGTGGTGAGTGAGAGGGCTTGCTCCCTGCGATGGGTTTCTTTGAGTGGCCTTGTCATGTTCCCACCATGAGGACAAAATACTGAAGTTATTTATTTAATATGGATATTTAATATGGATTCAAGTAAATGGCATCTATATCCACAGGTGTTTGTGTAAGTGCTAGCAAACATAAGTTTAAATGTTCATGCATTATATTTTAATTTTATGGAAAATCATTTTGAAATAGTGTGGCTTCTTGTCATGAATCTGGCTGCCCCCATGTCTGGAGTTTTATTTTGTTTGTCTGATGTTTTGACATCATCCTTTCTTTTCTCTAGGGAGGGAAAGACTTGTCAACATATGATTTTATGTTTTTGTATTACATTGAAAAATAACTTTGGTGCCTATTATCCAGCTGTTTGCTGAGAACAGGTGAGCACCGTACTTGAGGCTGGCTGGGCGCAGCTCACTGGGCAGGGAGCCCAGGCTGTGAGCTGCAGCCTCCATTCTGGTCTATGCTGCCTCTGTTTAATGGAGCAGTTACTTATACGTCTCAGTGGACAGAATCAAAGGGTGATCTGAATTTATTCCAGGCAATTTCTCCTTTTATTTTTCTTAACTCATGAGTGTGAATATTCTTTAATGAGGATTTTTTTATTTTGAGATATTTTTGGTGTTAGGAGGACACTCTCCTTCCCTCCTTCCTGGGAGTGCTGAGCATTTGTGAACAGCTCCCTCTATGGAATGAAACATCCACAAAGTGCATCTGCAGCTTTTCACAACGAAAGGAGAAGGAAGAGGCTGGTGCACACTCTGATAATAGTGGATAGTACTATATGCAAAGGTTCTTGTAGAAAGTACTGTATGCTAAGGTTCTCGTGGATGGTACTCTATGCTGAGGTTCTCGTGGATGGTACTCTATGCTGAGGTTCTCATGGATGGTACTCTATGCTAAGGTTCTCAGATGGTACTTTATGCTAAGGTTCTCATGGATGGTATGGTATGCTAAGGTTCTCGTGGATGGTACTCTATGCTAAGGTTCTCGTGGATGGTACTCTATGCTAAGGTTCTCGTGGATGGTACTCTATGCTAAGGTTCTCGTGGATGGTACTCTATGCTGAGGTTCTCGTGGATGGTACTCTATGCTGAGGTTCTCGTGGATGGTACTCTATGCTGAGGTTCTCATGGATGGTACTCTATGCTAAGGTTCTCAGATGGTACTTTATGCTAAGGTTCTCATGGATGGTATGGTATGCTAAGGTTCTCGTGGATGGTACTCTATGCTAAGGTTCTCGTGGATGGTACTCTATGCTAAGGTTCTCGTGGATGGTACTCTATGCTAAGGTTCTCGTGGATGGTACTCTATGCTGAGGTTCTCGTGGATGGTACTCTATGCTGAGGTTCTCGTGGATGGTACTCTATGCTGAGGTTCTCGTGGATGGTACTCTATGCTGAGGTTCTCGTGGATGGTACTCTATGCTAAGGTTCTGATGGTACCACATGCTAAGGTTCTTGTGGATGGTACTCTATGCTAAGGTTCTCAGATGGTACTTTATGCTAAGGTTCTCATGGATGGTATGGTATGCTAAGGTTCTCGTGGATGGTACTCTATGCTAAGGTTCTCATGGATGGTACTCTATGCTAAGGCTCTGATGGTACTATATGCTAAGGTTCTCGTGGATGGTACTCTATGCTAAGGTTCTCAGATGGTACTTTATGCTAAGGTTCTCATGGATGGTATGGTATGCTAAGGTTCTCATGGATGGTACTCTATGCTAAGGTTCTCAGATGGTACTTTATGCTAAGGTTCTCATGGATGGTATGGTATGCTAAGGTTCTCGTGGATGGTACTCTATGCTAAGGTTCTCATGGATGGTACTCTATGCTAAGGCTCTGATGGTACTATATGCTAAGGTTCTCGTGGATGGTACTCTATGCTAAGGTTCTCAGATGGTACTTTATGCTAAGGTTCTCATGGATGGTATGGTATGCTAAGGTTCTCATGGATGGTACTCTACGCTAAGGTTCTCGTGGATGGTACTCTATGCTAAGGTTCTCGTGGATGGTACTCTATGCTAAGGTTCTCGTGGATGGTACTCTATGCTAAGGTTCTCATGGATGGTACTCTATGCTAAGGTTCTCATGGATGGTACTCTATGCTAAGGTTCTCAGATGGTACTTTATGCTAAGGTTCTCAGATGGTATTTTATGCTAAGTCTCGTGGATGGTACTCTATGCTAAGGTTCTCAGATGGTACTTTCTCATGGATAGTACTATACTGCTACTTTATGCTAAGCTGGTACTGCATGCTAAGGTTCTTGTGGATGGTACTCTATGCTAAGGTTCTCGTGGATGGTACTTTCTCGTGGATAGTACTATACTGCTAAGGTTCTCGTGGCTGCTACCCTATGCTAAGGTTCTCGTGGGTGGTACTGCATGCTAAGGTTCTTGTGGATGGTACTCTATGCTAAGGTTCTTGTGGATGGTACTTTCTCATGGATAGTACTATACTGCTAAGGTTCTCGTGGATGGTACTCTATGCTAAGGTTCTCGTGGATGGTACTTTCTTGTGGATGGTACTATACTGCTAAGGTTATCGTGGATGGTACTTTCTCGTGGATAGTACTATACTGCTAAGGTTCTCGTGGATGGTACCCTATGCTAAGGTTCTCGTGGATGGTACTTTCTGGTGGATAGTACTATACTGCTAAGGTTCTCGTGGGTGGTACTTTCTCATGGATAGTACTATACTGCTAAGTTTCTCATGGCTGGCACTGCATGCTAAGGTTCTCGTGGAACATCAGTATAGTCTGGGGACTGTGACATCATTCTGATGCCCTATCTTGCACTCTGTTGTCTCCTGTGAGGCAGACCTGATACATGACACGATGCTCAGCAACATAAATGTCTGAACTGAAGAGACGATGGAGAGGAGACGCCTTAGAGGAGACATGGCCATAAGTTGAGGCAATGGGTTGTGATCATCTCCAGCAGCTATTATCATTTACTAATGAGTCGGCACTCTGCTAAATGCTTTATTTGCATTCTGTTATTTAATTCTCACATAAATCTTTTGAAGTTAGTACTATTATCATCCCCACTCTTTGGATAAGGAAACCGATACTCCAAATTTAAAACCTGCTCAAGATCACATGGCTGCTAAGTGGAATGAAAGGGAGTAAAACCCAGAGGTCTCACTGCAGGGCATTAACTCTTAAACACTGAGCTGTGTTAGCTTCCCAAATTTCATAATGGTATCACTACTCCTTAAAATACATCTGAACATAAATTTGTCATGATCTTTGATGGGTATTAAGTTTCTGCAGTCAAAAATTTGCAGTAGAGTGAGAGTTATAATAAAAAATAAATGTGGTAAAAATAATACTAGGCTGGTGCAGTGGCTCACGCCTGTAATACTAGCACTTTGGGAGGCCAAGGCAGGCAAATCACTTGAGGTCAGGAGTTCGAGACCAGCCTGGTCAACATGGTGGAACCCTGTCTGTACTAAAAACACAAAAATTAGCTGGGCGTGGCAGCGCACACCTGTAATCCCAGCTACTTAGGAGGCTGAGGCATGAGAATCACTTGAACCTGGGAGGCAGAGGTTGCAGTGAGCCGAGATCGCACCACTGCACTCCAGCCTGGCGATAGAGCAAGACTGCATCTCAAAACAAAACAAAACAAAACAAAACAAAAAGGCAAACAAACAAAAAAAATGACGTATAATCCCTAGGGGGAATTCAAGTGAACAAGGGAGTCTGCGATGCAGAGCGGGAGCAACCTGTGCTGCTCACAGCACCCCCAAGCCACACTGCAATGAGGAGGAAGAGAGAGAAAAGCTTAACCATTCAACCCTGCAAGTACTTACTAAGCACCTCTTACAGCAGGTGCGGTGGTCACTGGAGAACACTAAGGAAAATTAGACACAGTTCCTTTCTGCAAAGAATGAATACAACAACTGCACAAATAACAAAATACAAATGTGACTGCCTTGCGTGAGAAGTTCTGCCACGTGCTGGGAGTTCAGAGGAGGAAGAGATGTCTAATGCAGAGAGTCCCCGAATGTGACCATGAGGCAGTGACATGCAAGGGGACTCGAGCCTGGATTTCAGCAGTGACCATGGAGGCAGTGACATCCAAGGGGACTCGAGCCTGGATTTCAGCGGTGACCATGGAGGCAGTGACATCCAAGGGGACTTGAGTCAGGATTTCAGAGGTGATCATGGAGGCAGTGACATCCAAGGGGACTCGAGCCAGGAGTTCAGCGGTGACCATGGAGGCAGTGACATCCAAGGGGACTTGAGTCAGGATTTCAGAGGTGATCATGGAGGCAGTGACATCCAAGGGGACTCGAGCCAGGAGTTCAGCGGTGACCATGGAGGCAGTGACATCCAAGGGGACTCGAGCCAGGATTTCAGTGGTGACTGGGAAAGGGGGGGGCCCCAGAAACAAAGGCCTGGAGGTGACAAATCCCAGAGCAGCCAGGCCTGGCTTGGCTGGAAGGTCAGGGATGTAGAAGCACACCAAGGGCAGAGGCCTCAAAAGCTGAGGTGCGTCCTCCCCATGCTGATGAGCAGCCCCCACAGCCTAGCCCGGCCGTCAGCAATCTATGCTCTCTCTCTCTCTCTCTTTCTTTTTATTCTGGACGTTTCATATAAATGGAATCACACAATATGCAGTCTATAGAAGGATGAAGAGGGACTTTACCCAGAAACGTGGGAGTTCCCAGGAGGCTCCTGAAGGCAGTGAGACCCAAGGGGCGGGGTCAGTTGGACAGAGGGGCAGCAGCTGTCGTGCAGGGGCCTGGCCTATGGTGGCCACGCTCCCTGGGACAGTGGGAGGTGTCGCAGGAGGCCCCGTGGGCTGGTGGTTGAAGGAAGGTGTCAGCCACGCACCCAGAGCACAGCGGGGCATCAGGAGGATCTGAAACAGCGAATGATCTCCTTGCACCTTCTGTTTAGACGGCCACCCCAATCTGTAGACAATATCGAAGGGCCACAAAGGTGGACAAGGAAGGGAACGGGCCCTGAGGCTCCTTTTGTTGCCCGTGACTCCCAGACATAAGCAAATCTCAGCACCGAGGCTGCCGGCTCATCCTGCCTACTGCACAGCTTGGCCCAACCCTTTTCCTCTTTCCAGTTGCTTCAGCTCCACTTCCACTCAGAGCTTAAATATAATAGAAGAACGGGTTCTTAAGGTACAGTCCAGACTATTTACAACTAGCTAGCTAAAGATGGAAAATGAGACGATGTAATGATGTGTGGTTTGACACATAATAACAGAATGCTAGGCTGTAACCTTGCTTTTTTCTGATTTACATTTATATTGCAGAAGCTGACAACATCTGGAATAAGTAAACATTACATTTTCTGTCATGAAATATCTAAAAGCCACATACTAAAACTTTTAGTTTTTTAAAAAATGAAAGGCAGTAGAAACATCTTTGCATTCTGACATAAAGGAAACTTTGAATGCATCTGGACATTGTTTTACACAATTAATATGAAAATTTAATTTTGCCCTATGTAAACTTGCTCAGCTGTAAACAAACAAGCCATCATGGAGACTAGATCAAATAATAAGCTCGTTGACTCCATGCTAGAGTAAACAAGGACATCAGAGTAAGTCATAGCCCTACAGATGTTAGACAAAAGGAAGGATTTTTACGTCTTTATTGATGTAAATTACATACTGTAGGAGTCACCCATCTAAAGTCCACAACTTAATAGGTTAATATCTTCACAGAGTTATGTAGCCATCACCATGACTTCATTTTAGAGCATTTCCTTCACCCCAGAAAGAAACACCACACCGGCCAGGTGCAGTGGCTGACGCCTTAATCCCAGCACTGTGGGAGGCCGAGGCAGGTAGATCACGAAGTCAGGAGATAGAGACCATCCTGGCTAACATGGTGAAACCCCGTCTCTACTAAAAATACAAAAAATTAGCCAGGCGTGGCTGCGGGCACCTGTAGTCCCAGCTACTCGGGAGGCTGAGGCAGGAGAATGGTGTGAACCTGGGAGGCGGAGCTTGCAGTGAGCCAAGATCGCACCACTGCACCCCAGCCTGGGCAACAGAGCAAGACTCCGACTCAAAAAAAAAAAAAAAAAGAAACACCATTCCCATTAGCAGTCACGCAGTCACACCCCAACCCCACTCCATCCCCCATCCCATCCCCCACCCCAACCCCCACCCCAACCCTCACCCCGACCCCCACCCCAACCCCCACCCCAACCCTCACCCCAACCCTCACCGCATCCTCCACCCCAACCCCCACCCCATCCCCCACTCACATCCCCCACCCCAACCCCCACCCAACCCCCACCCCAACCCCCACCCCAACCCTCACCGCATCCTCCACCCCAACCCCCACCCCATCCCCCACCCACATCCCCCACCCCAACCCCCACCCAACCCCCACCCCAACCCCCACCCCAACCCTCACCCCATCCCCCATCCCCCACCCCCACCCCAACCCCAACCCCAACCCCAACCCCATCCCCCACTCCTAGCAACCACTCATCTCCTTTCTGTCTCTATCGAATTCACTGATTCTGGACATTTCACCTAAATGGAATCATACAAGATGTGGCCTAAGAAAGATTATCTTTCATTGTCATATTAATAGCTATAAACCCATAATAAGAAATGTCTTACACTACAGCTTAAATTGCTATTCCTAATGAGAAACATGGGGAAGAAGTCCCGTTAGGCGTTGTCACAATGTCTAAACAAGGGTCTCTGAGAAGCTTCTAGCTCTGCTGAGTCTAGCATGGGAGTTCCTGCAGGCTGCTTAACGGAGACCTCATCTACTTTGTCTAAACAAACCAGGAACGGTGTGGGTCCTGGTCACCTCCCAGGTGCCCTCAGCGTGTTAGGGTCTCCTTCAGCCTCTGATGACTCAACAGTCTGGTGTCACTGGACATGTCCTAAGTATGTACTTTCTAGTGGTTTGCAGTCAATATCATGTAAAGTGTGGTACACACACTAACACACACACAATCATAATGTAACAGTTTCCACCTGCAGTGACCTGTGTCTATTAAAGGGCTGCCCGACACGGACTCACAGCATTGGTCTCTTTTCAAAGTCATTCTGTCACTTATATTACATAGATTTTAAAGTCTGATAAATGTTACCAATCTTAGAAAAAAAAATTCAGGAAAATAGCTTCTGTTCTGACTAGCTTAAAATTTTTATTTGCTATTAATTTTAATTAGTGTAGGAAGTTAAAATACAAAAGAGAGAGCTAAGAAAATGACTCAAATTGATTGAATATGTTGTCTTCAGACAACTGGTATACCCTTTGGGAGGCCGAGGCAGGCGGATCACAAGGTCAGGAGATCGAGACCATCCTGGCTAACACAGTGAAACCCCGTCTCTACTAAAAATACAAAAAATTAGCCAGGCATGGTGGTGGGTGCCTGTAGTCCCAGCTACTTGGGAGGCTGAGGCAGAAGAATGGCATGAACCCGGGAGGTGGAGCTTGCAGTGAGCCAAGATCACACCACTGCACTCCAGCCTGGGCGACAAAGCGAGACTCCGTCTAAAAAAAAAAAAAAAAAATAGAAAGGTGCCAAAGACAAAAAAAAATTATTTCGATTAATTATAAAGAGCCAAAAGAGCAACAAACAAGAAAAGGAAGGTTAAAATGTTGTCTTTACTGAAAATTCATTTTTCGTTATTGACAATTCATCAGTAATATTTATACACATGCATATCCGATACAAATGTGTAAGATAAAATTTTTGAGTAAACATTTTAAAGAGAAGACTAAGTTTATTTTCTATTAGGAAATTTCATATCTTTTAAGAGGAATGAAAACGCCTATGTTTATTTTTAAAAGTACACGTACGTACAGAAAAGGAGAGGAGAGAGAGCAGGGCTTGCAACAGTGCTGACAGTGGCCATCTCTGGGCAAAAGAAATGTGGACAGTTTTCATTTCAATTTTTTTACTTCCTCGAAGTTTAAAAAGCTCTATAATGAACATATATTACTCTTGGGCAAGAAGGGATTTTTTTTTTCCAGAAAAACACTAACAAGTGCTTTCTTTGTCTTTCCTCAAATTTTGTGCGTTTTTCTCATTGACAATGGATGGTTGGTTTTCAGAGATGACTTTGTCATGCTAGTAACAAGTTTTCTGGAGCTTTTTGAGATTAAGTTCACAACATTGCTGTAAGTCATGTTTGGAATCACTTTCTGCCCTTCCAGTTGTTGTAGAAAGCAAATCGCCACCCATGGCCCTTCTCTGCCTCCGGCTCCCCGACCACAGGTTGCAGAGAAGGATGGGGTGCATCTGTGCCCAGGTGTGTGCGACGCCTCACCACATGGAAGGACAGCCAGCTGGAGGCACAGGACATGCCTGAACTGTGCTGCAAACTAGAAGACACAAAATATCTGGGTTTTTATTCCAGAAAACTGTCACGGACACCTGTAATCAAGACCGGTATTTCTCTGTCCATTGTAGAAAGAGATCCAATCCTCTTAGTCCCAACTTAAACTAAGATTTTCACAATATCAAATTTTCATGGAAACTGCCTTCAGCATAATAAGTACAAGTAATTTATCTGATAAAAGAATGTCAACAGCAAGTACAGTATAATTTGTGTGGTGACAAATTGTACCCATCCTTTCCAGGAAGAAAGACACACTGCTGTGTGTGGAATGAATTGGGGCAAGGTCAAGTAGAAGCACTTGTGTTTAATATGCAGCTCCCAGAAACATCACTCTATCCTTTCAGAAGATAGATGCAAATTATAGCTAATAAAGTTATTATAAATAATTGCTGCTTCTCCTCTCCTGCATATTCAGTGAGTTTGGAATGGGAGGAGAGGCAGTTATGAATGAGACACCTATAAATTATGAATTAGGAGACATCTGATGTGGCACTTGTCATTGTCCCTAAATTCAGAGATGTATTTTCATAGATTAGCAATATCAGATATGACATCTGAGGTCAAATTGACTGAGAGATTTAGCCAGCCAGGGTGAGAAGTACAAGGTTGAGAATGTCTCTAAGATGCTCACACAGCACCCGCAGATATCTTCGGGAATGACAAGGAGAGGAAAAGGAGCAGGTGTTAATTTTTCACATAATAAGGGCTGGAACAAATAGCAGACATGAGTACTACGAAGGGGAAAATTAGTCACCCTGTAGTATTACGGGCACAAATATCTCACAATGAGGTGGGAGGATCCGAGGTCCTGACAATGTCTGTGGAGACCCTAACCTGTGTCAGGTCCTGAGCCAGGTGGGGAAGGCAGGAATTCGATTCCAGCAGCTTCTGCTGATAATCAAGGCACAATGCCAACAGGAAGCAAGCGACAGAGGCTTGCCCGGTGCTGTGGGGGGAAGGAGGGGTCCACCCGGCGTCAGAGACATGAGTACCAGGCAGCCCTCTTCCAGGAATAGTGTCCAGCCTGCGACTTGAAACCAACAGCCAGGGTCAGCAGGAGACCCAGGGCAGACAGAGTCTGAGTGGAGGCTGCACGGAACCGGGGCAGGTGACAAGCAGGTTTCCAGAGAGCAACCAGAGTCAGTCTCAGCTGCAGGGAGGGCAGCCTCGAGGGGAGGACCCGCGAAGGAGCAGAAACTGCGGGGGCAGCAGGGTTCAGCCCACTGGAGCGACAGCATGAGAAGGGGCGAAGGGGGCCGGGTCCAGCACGTGCCTTGCCCTGTGAGCTGGAGGGAGTAGGGCAGCATGGCCTCCGCTGAGTCAGGCACGGTGAGGGCACAGACCCAGGGAGGGGCCAGACGGGACTCACAATTAGGCCCACAGCCAGCAAGCCACGGACAGGACTCACATCCAGGTGTCTACAGTAGTCAAACTGTTGGAGGCTGAAAGTAGAGTGGTGATCACCAGCTGTGGGAGGGGGACTGGGAGTGTTGCCCGACAGGTAGAGGATTTCAGATTTGCAAGATCACAGAGAGAGATCTGCTGAACAACAATGTGAGCAGAGTCGACACCACTGCAGTGCACACTTAGCAAGAGCTGAGAAGGTACATTGCATGCCGTGTGTTTCTGACCACACACACACTAAGCGAGATTCAGGCCCAAGTCGACCTCCAAGTCCTTGCTCTTTCGCAGCAGCCGCTAGCCCTGTGATTGAGACCCAGCTCCTGCCTGCCGGGCCTCACGGGCCTCTGCCGTCAATCAAGTGATAAGATTTCTCAGAACCGCAGAAGCCCTAATCTGACCTGTTACTCTTCGACACCGTTTAATATAATGTTTTAGACGTGTTTGCCACTTTTTATATAAACGCTTATGAAAATCACGTAGAGACTGTTAACTAAGTAGACGCTCAGGTACACTCACCATTTTCAGCAAGATAAAAATGGCCAAGCGCGGGTCCCGCAGCTGCTAAGCCTGTTCTGTGTCCCGACCTCCTGAGAGAGTCCCCAGGCTTTGCCTTCCCGGCTTCCCGGGGTTGACCCCAAATTCATGTGTTCCTGGCGCTGGCCCCGTCTGTTAACTCCAGCTACGGGAGAGGCGCTCTGTGGCACTCCTGGAGCAAAAACATCCGGAAGTGGCCCAAATCCTGCGGAAGGTTTTCCGGGAGAATGGGAGGTGCTCGTGTCACAGGGCACCCGAACTCCCAAGGAGAAGATGAGGACTGGAGGAGGCCCTGGAGGCGACGTGCGCGCCCCGCGGTGGGGCCGTCTCTGTGCGGTGAGGCTCCCGCCTGTATCTCGCAGCGGGAGGTCATCGGGCAAGTGCGTTGCTGCGCTGCTGGAGAGAACGCTGGAAGAGGCGGGAATCGTGCCACGCCGGGGGGCGCCATCTTTGTAAGAGGTCAGGACCAAAGTGGGTCAGAACTCCGTTCCTACAGTGTACGTCGCATCTCCCTCTGGTAGGACCTGCTGTCTTAGTTTTCGTTTGTGGTTTGGTTTTGTTTTTCGGCCTAGAAGTTGGTGAGTGATGCTGTGTGATTCCAGCAGGAAGTCCCGGGTGCTGTCACCACGGTGGGCACCCAGCGGCCCCGGGCAGGGCTGACTGCATGAGTCACTGCCACCGCTGCTGTTTGTGGCACCCTGCCATGTGACCGTGATCTTCTGTGTCACATGACACAGGTTTTTTGTCTTTTCTCAAATTTTATGCCTTCTCATTGACAGTGGATGGTTGGTTTTCAGAGATGAATTTGTCAGGTAAGAAATTTTCTGAGGCTTTTTGAGATTAAGTTCATAACATTGCTGAAAGTAATGTTTGAAATCACTGTTTGCCCTTCCAGTTGACATAGAAAGCAAATCACCACCCGTGGCCCTTCTCTGCTGCCAGTTCCCCCACCATAGGCTGCAGAGAAGGCCAGGGGTGCATCTGTGCCCAGGTGTGTACAATCAAGCATACACTTCAAGGTGTTCCTTGAAACAGTCAAGAGAAGTCCTTTATGCCTCCCCGGGTTTTCTCGACTGTTTCAAGGTACACCTCAGAGTGGGGTGTACCGCCCAGGTTGGCCAAGATGCAATGGCCAGCCTTGACAGTCTCGGCCGTGGGCTTTTGAACTGAGCCGCATTAAATCCCAGCCGGTGCTGGAAGACACTCAGGCATCCCCACAGACTTTCATCAGACCTCCCAGGGCAGCCCCCAGCCCTTCCACATCCATTGGTCAGCTGTGGTCTGCGGGTCCTCCGGAGGGCAGGCAGTAGTCACAGCTGCAGTTGTGCCCCTTGGGACATCACGCTGGCCTTGGGCAGAGCCTCTGGGAGAAAGGGCCCCCAGGGCGCAGTCCTCAGTTGTGTTGCCTTGCTGCATTTCCTCAGAGCCCAGGGCGAGGCCACTCCAGACGCAGCTCTGCTCAGCACAGCTCCCGAGTCTCTGACGTTGGCCCTGGAAACGAGGACACGTCAGCCACGAGGACCTGGCTCTGTCTGTCCAGCTCCAGGTAGTTTAATTGCCGGAGCAAAAGCCCTCACTTGAGATTTTGGCCGATGGTCCCTCTGCCCTCTTCAGAGCTTAGGCGTGGGTTGGATGAGGGTGGGCTGTGGGCATGTCACAGATCCACTGGGCCAGGCTCTGAGCAGCCGCCCTCCGGGAACCAAGCCCCCCTTTCTGGGCTAAGCCCATGGTGATGATTTCCTTAGCTTCTTGTCCTAGGAGCCCCTCAGGTCTATGTTTTTGTAACAGCTTTTTTGAAATGCAACTCAAATGGCATAGCATTCACTCATTTAATGTGTACAATTCAGCAGGGTTTTTATGATTATTAATTTTTTGAGACAGAGTCTCTCTGTTGCCAAGGTTGGAGTGTAGTGGCATGATCAGAGCTCACTGCAGCCCCAACCTTCCAGGCTCAAGTGATCCTCCTGCCTCAGCCTCCCAAGTAGCCAGGACTACAGGCATGCATCAACACACCCAGCTAATTTACTTTCTTTTTTTTTGTAGAGACAGGGTCTTGCTATGTTGTCCAGGCTGGCCTCAAACTCCTGGCTTCAAGTGAGCCTCCAGCCTCAGCCTCCAAAAGTGCTGGGATTCCAGGCATGAGCTACCACGCTCGGCCACAATTCCACAGTATAGCACATTTTAGTATTTTCATCACTGCACCCAACTTTAGAACATTGCACCACTCCAAAAGGAAACTCATGCCCTTTAGCTGTCACCCTCACACCTCACACACACCTGTGTGTGTCCCTGGCCCCACACAGCCATTGATCTGCCTCTTTCTCTGTCTGTGGACTTTGCTATTCTGGCTCACATAAGACCTGGCCTTCTATGACTGTCTTTCTTCACTGAGCGTGTTCTCAAGGCTCATCCACAATGCAGCCTGTGTCAGCACATCAAGTTACCATGCAGTATTTCATTTTATCACAATTAGTTTATTCTTTCATGAGTAAATAGGCATCTGGGTTATTTCCACCTTTTAGCTATCATGAATAGTGTGGCTATGAACATTCGTACACAAGCTTTTGGCAAATTTTCATTTCTTGGAAGTTACATGGAATGCATGGAGCTGCTGGGTGAGATGGCTGCTTCCTGCTTCATCTCTTGAGAAATTGCTGCCTGGTTTTCCACAGCGGCTGCACCATTTCCCTCCGTTCTCTTGTAAAGCAGCTTCTTGTGGTCTCTTTTACCAGCACTGTAGAAATGTCCAGGCGTATTGAAGTCCCACTAAAGCTGAAACTGGAGATGTTGCTTTAATTATACTCACACAAGCTAGGCACAGTGGCTGGCACTATGCCAGCTACTCAGGAGGCTCAGGCAGAAGGATTGCTTGAGCCCGAGAGGTAGAGGCCGCAGTGAGCCATGATTGTACCACTGCACTCCAGCCTGGGCAACAGAGCAAGACCCTGTCTCAAAAAATAATAAATAAATAAATAAATAAATAAAGCAGAACACCTAAGCAAGAGAATCAGAGTCTGCCTTTAAAAAAATTTATACTAGCTGACTGGGCGCGGTGGCTCACACCTGTAATCCCAGCACTTTGGGAGGCCGAGGTGGGCGGATCACGAGGTCAGGAGTTCGAGACCAGTATGCCCAACATAGTTAAACCCTGTCTCTACTAAAAATACAAAAATTAGCCGAGTGTGGTGGTGTGTGCCTATAATCCCAGCTACTCAGGAGGCTGAGGCAGGAGACTCGCATGAACCTGGGAGGCGGAGGTTGCAGTGAGCCAAGATCGTGCCACTGCACTCCAGCTGGGTGACAGAACGAGACTCCGTCTCAAAAAACAAACCAAACCAAACCAAACAAAACCAAACAAAACAAATTTATACTAGGGTCCAGGCGTGGTGGCTCACGCCTGTAAGCCCAGCACTTTGGGAGGCCGAGGCGGGCGGATCACAAGGTCAGGAGTTCGAGACCAGTCTGGCCAACCTAGTGAAACCCCGTCTCTACTAAAAATACAAAAATTAGCCAGGCGTGGTGGTGCATGCCTGTAATCCCAGCTACTCAGGAGGCTGAGGCAGAAGAATCACTTGAACCCAGGAGGTGGAGGTTGCAGTGAGCCGAGACTGTGCCACTGCACTCCAGCCTGGGCAACAGAGTGAGACTCTTATCTCAAAAAAAAAAAAATTATACTAACACTTACATGGTATTTTTATAATGTTTTTTCTATAATTCCTTTCTGTCTAGTCATTTATTTTCTTCACAAAATATCTGTGTGCTTGGATACCGTTATCTGTATATGAAATAATGAAACAGAAGGTTTTAGAGTTTTGACCAAGTCACATAACAAATATCTAAACCGAAGAGTTGCACCAGGTTTCCAACCCAAATTTCAGTGTGCAATTTAAAGTAATAACAGAGGCTGGGTGTGGTGGCTCACACCTGTAATCCCAGAGCTTTGGGAGGCCAAGGTGGGCAGATCACTTGAGGTCTGGAGTTCGAGACCAGCCTGGCCAATATGGCAAAACCCCATATCTACCACAAATACAAAACATAAAAATAAAAAATTTGCCAGGTGTGTTGGCATGCACCTGTAATCCCAGTTAGTCAGAAGGCTGAGGTAGGAGAATTGCTTGAACTGGGAAGTGGAGGTTGCAGTGAGCCAAGATCACACCACTGCACTCTAGCCTGACCAACAGAGCAAGACTCCATCTCAAAAATAAATAAATAAATAAATAGCATAAAGTAATGACAGAGTAGGGGAAAGGGAGATTAAAAAGAAGCATATGAATGTATTTATTACCACTGAACTGCACACTTAAAAATAGTAAAGATGGTAAATTTTACATGTATATTTTACCTCAATTTTTTTAAGTATAAAAAGTTTTAAATTAAAAAAAAAATTGTGGCTGGGCTTCGTGGCCCACACCTGTAATCCCAGCACTTTGGGAGGCCGAGGAGGATGGATCGCCTGAGCTCACGAGTCTGAGACCAGCCTGGGCAACATGGTGAATCCCCCATCTCTACAAAAAATACAAAAATGAGCCAGGTGTGGTGGTGCTTGCCTGTAGTACCAGCTACTTAGGAGGTTGAGGTGGGAGAATGATTTGAGCTCAGGAGGCAGAGGTTGCAGTGAGCCAAGATCACACCACTGCGCTCCAGCCTGGGTGATAGAGCCGGACCTTGTCTCAAACAACAACAACGACAGCAACAACAAACTTAAAAAAAGGACATAAAATGAAAGTGCATTCATGGATGAATCTAAAATGAAATCTGCATTCAAAGAGACTGAAAAATAATAATAAAGTAATGGCAGGGGTGGCAGTGGTTGGGTGGCATATTGAGGATGGAGCTTTGTGCTTTGGAGCTGCGGAGGGCCAGGGGCCACACGGGGCATGCAGCGCCGGCAGTGACAGCAGGTGGGTGCGTGCTGCGGAGAGCACCACAGCACTCAGGCAGGATCCTGGGGGTGCAGCAAGGACTGTGGATGCACCTCAGTGTTTCTTACAGTGTCGTACTCTGCACATAATAGAAATTCAAAAATATTCTTTGATGGACTTGTTCCAAACATCCAGGAAACGACTCCCCTGCTGCTTTTGGCTGAGGCTGCCAGGGCACACGCACAGGTTGTCTTGCAGAAGGGCAGGGTGTCTAGTTGAAGACGGGGTGTCGGATGAGTGCATTAGGCTCCATCCACCCATAGCCCAACTTCAATGAGAATAAAGGGATTGTTTGAGGGGCATAAACCTACCAAGGAGAAGAGAATGGGAGAAGACAAACAGCAACAGAAGTTTGGAAGATGAAGTGCAGGTAGATAAGCAGAGATGACCCACAGGACGGAGGAGGCTGAATTCTAAGTCAGCCCTGCAAAAGCCAAGGGACAACCCCAGTGACACCACAGGACACCCCCAAAGGCTTAGAATCGGAGGCACTGGCACCATTAAAAGTGAGGATGAAGGTGACACCCAAAAACAGAAGAATCCCTTGAAAATCTGTTTTTTTTTTTAAGAAAATCAGACCAGCAGACCCCTCTCCAGCAACCGGACATTAGACTCTAGGGACGCCCCTTGCGTGTAGGTAGGTGCATGGCCTGCACTGCGTGCACGTTCACATGCTGGGTTCTTCCCCCAAAGGGAACCTAAAGGGCAGAGTTGGAGAACCCGTCCCTATCCTGCTTTCATCGGGGGATGCAGACGTTGGAGTTTTCCTAAGAAAACAACTCAGCTCAATCATTCATCCCACGTCGAAGATCAGAGTCCACAGGCCCCCGTCACCCCCTCGGCCTTCAACCAGCTTTTGGGAGTCCTACTCTAAAATGTGAGCAGACAGCAAAGACAGGCAGATGCAGGGAGGAGCCCTCTGCCACGCAGAGAGAGGCCACGGTGAACAAACTGCTCAAACAGCTCTGAGGACATGGAGGCTCCTCGGAAGGTAACAACTGAAAACCATCACTAGTATCTGGAGACATGAGAGAGAAAAGTGCATCAATGAGCTGAAAGCAGATTGCTCTGAGAACCATCAGAGAACCAAAATGCTTTCGGAAATAAGACCATGTTAGGAAAACCTCGAAAGACTCTGCAGTGCAGGAGGAAGTGAATGGGAGGACAGAGGAAATGCTGGCGATCAAGAGCTTACAAATACCAAGCTTGGTGGAAGGCGCATTACAGCATTCTCTTGACTTTTGCACATGTTTAAATAAATCGTTTATTTCCCATAATATAAAAGTTCTAAACAATATGATAGCAAAACTGAAAACCTCAATAAAAGTGCCAAACTATAAAAGTAAGTAAGAAAAATAGATAATCCAAGAGGTAATAAGAATTCCAGAAAAATGGAATACAAAGGCAGATATATCAATCAGAATGTGATTGGAGAAACAGAACTGCTACTAGTGAAATAGAATAAGGAGTTTATTTTAGGTTTTGGACCTCACATGACTGTGAGAGCTGGGGGAGCTGTGTGAAGCCCTGAATGGCAGTCAGGCCAGAAGTTACCATGGCTCAGCCACCCAGGGAGGGTTAGGTGAACAGGTACAGACAAGAGCAAACATGGCTGAAACCCACGAGGGGACCCTATGAAGACAGCCCGACTCTCAGCACAAACCGGAACCCAAGTCTATCTCTCACCGCCTCCAAGTCAATGCTGTGGGAACTCCTTCTCCACAGACCCACAATGCACTTGGATCAGGATTCCAAGAAGGTGCAGGAGAGGACCTGGTGGCAGCCAGGGGGCTGTGAGGCTGTGAGCTGCCCAGCCAAGGTCAACGATTGCAAGCTGCCAGGGCACCCAGCACTGACCTTCTGGACACAAAAATAAGGTTCTTGTTTCCCTTCTGCCTTCTCAATCCTTCTCAAAATGTCTGTGGCCAATTCCAACCCAGACCACATAGGGAAGGGAACTCAGGGAAGTTTCTCCCCTACTGAATCAAGCTGGTTAGGTACAAGGTCAGCACAGCCGCTCCTGTTGGCCATGCACTCCACACCCCTTGAACCACACTTAACTTTCAGGGAAAGGTAGTAACAAAATCACGCTTTCATCCAGTATGGCTTGTAGTAATCACCTGTACAACCAATGATGGACCAACTTGTTCCCCAAAGGGGTTGTAACGTCCCCTTTACATCTTTCGAGATGTTTGTTCTCTTTCTGACTGAGTCAGCCCTCTGATACCCTAAAACTTAAACACTGAGACAGCAGGATAACTACCACTGACACATCTTATATCATGGAAGAGGAGAGGAAGAAAACGTTATGTCCGTAACTATTCCTGCCTTTGTTTCAGTGACCGTTGGAGCTGGCATTCATGACCGCATTCTCTTGCCATCCATCGCTAACCCTCTGCTCTCAGCAAGTACCCTGCAGTTTATGTTCCTTGCCTGGTGGGGTGACCCAAACCTTTATTCCGGAAGGGTCTGAGCCATTCGCATTCCTGCCTGTATTCTAGAATATTCTTCCCTGCCCTCATTGTTTAGAAGCAACCTAATTTCCCCTGGATAGTTGGGGCTAAGCATTCCAGCCAGTACAGTGACCCCCTTCTTTGCTGGTTCAAGCTCCCCTGACAGGAAGTGCTCAGAGTGCTAATGGGGTTGACTCCACTGCCAGCCCAGTGAACCAGTCCTGTGGGGGTATGTCCTGAGATGGGAGCATCCCGCCAGGGAGCTAAGACCTCAGATCAGCAGATCCTAAAGTTTCAGGGACAGGAAGAACATGTGTCAGTAGCAGAGCTCAGGGAGAAATCATGGGAGAAGTCATTCTAATTCCAGCCCATGAACCCTGGTTGTGGAAAAATAGAACCACACACTGGCCACCGAGCGGAGCATTTGCACCCTGCCTCCTGGGGAGTAAGATTCCCACCCAGCAAGGCGCTTGTGTCTTCAAAAGGCCATTTCACCCTTTCATCAAGCCAGCTCCTTCACAGTGCGGGGGGACCTGGCAATCCCAGCATATTCAGGTCCCCAGGCTTCTATAGAAAGTCACCACAGACTAGGTGGCCTAAACAACATGAATTTATTCCCCCACTGTTCTGGGGGCCAGGAGTCTTCAGTCAAGTTGTTAGCAGGGCCATGCTCCTTTCCCAGGCTCTAGGGAGGACCCTTCCTGCCTCCTCCAGTGCCGTGTGGCTCCAGGTGCTCCTTGGCTTGTGCCTGGCCATGACAATCTCTGCCTCTGTTGCCACGTGGCTGTCTCCTCTGTGTTGCTCTTATAAGGACACTTGTCATTGCATTTAGGGCCCACATGGTAATGCAGGATCGTCACATTCTGAGATCCTTAACTGCATGTGTACAGTTCTGTTTTCCACATAAGGTCACATTCAAGGTTCCAGGGGTTAGGACATGAACATATGTTTCAGATGCCATCATTCAACTCACTTCACTCAGCAAATTCCATGGGTATAATCCAGGGAGACTGTATAAAATCAGTCTCTTGGATAGAAGCAATGCTGTAGAGAACACCATTCTCTGTGTCCAGGGGTGGTGACTTGGACTGAAATATCAAAGCTGGGGAAGGCAAATCATGTCCAGAGTGCTGTGGTCTGAATGTCCCTGAAATTCACGTGTTGAGACATAATCATCATTGTGATCATAGGAAGAGGTGAGCTTTTAGGAGGTGAATAAGTCATGGCGATGGAGCCCTCGTGGGTGGGATGAGGGCCTTATAGAAGGGCTCAGGGATGAGTTTTCTCTGCTGACTCTCCCACCACGTGAGGGCACAGCACTCATCCTCTTTGCCTTTTTGGCCCCTCCTGACAGACAAGGCTGCAAAAAGGCCCTCACCAGGCACCAGATGCCAGTGGCTTGGTCTTGGACTTCCCAGCCATCAGAGTTGGAAATACATTTCTGTTCCTCATTAGTTACCCAGTGTGTGGCATTTTGTTATAGCAGCACAAACAAAAGAAGACACCCACCGGATTAGATTCTGGGTTTGGTTTCCAGAACTCTCAGCCTTGTGGCTACAGGGGTGAGGGTTTCTTTATTATTAATCTTTATCTTTAGAGACAGGACCTCACTCTGCCACCCACGCTGGAGTGCAGTGGCATAATCACAGCTCACTGCAGCCTCCAACTCCTGGGCTCAAAGGATCCCTCTGCCTCAGGAGGACCTGTAGCTGGGACTACAGGCGAGTGCCACCATACCTGGCTAATTATTTTTTGTAGAAATGAGGTCTCACTCTGTTGCTCACTCTGGTCTGAAACTCCTGGCCTTGAGCAACCCTTCTGCTGTGGCCACCCAAAGTGCTGGGGTCACAGGCGTGAGCCGTCACTCCTGGCTATGTGGGTTTCTTTTAAGGACTCACAGACACTTTCTGGTCACTTACAAGGACCTTAAGCTGGAAATTTGGAATTCTGAGACCACCATTTTCTCTTCCCAATTTTTCCAGTGCTCACAGAAGCAAGCAAGCAACCCTAGTGTATCAATTATTTTTGCAAACAAAATCTGTGGCCATAACTGCTTGTTCACCCACACCCTTGCCTCCTACAGGCACTTGACTAGAGGCATTTACAAATTTGCTTTGAAGAAACAGTTTGGCTGTCACATGCCATGCGCAACCAGTGTTCCATTCACCGTTGTCAACAAAGTCGTTAGTACTTGAAAATCGAACCAGAGAAGACCAGTTCTCAAGAACATGGCACTCATCCAGGAGCCTGTCCCAAGGCTCTGCTCCTCCATGCCCCTTTCAGGACCAGTCTCAGGTGAGGCTGGAGAGGCGGAGCTGCTCTATGGGTGCAGAGCAGGGGTGGGTTATGGGAGTAGACCTTGCACAACTGTGGGGGCTGGGGGCCACTGTGGTCCTGAATGCGGTGGTCAGGAGATGGCTGGCTGTGGACTCGGCAGGACAAGCTGGTCAGGAGACGGCTGGCTGTGGACTCAGCAGGACAAATTGAGATCTGGTGCCCACAGGGCAAAGGAGAGCCTGTGCCTTGTCAGGCCACCTCCAACCTCAAGCCTGTGTATGGCTGGCAGGAAGGGCTGGGCCCTTCGGAGCTGCACACTCTGGTCCAGGACATGGGCATTGGAAGGTCTGGCAGGGGCTGGGGAAGCTGTGGTCCAGGTCATGCCCACCCCACACCCACACTGTGGAGCCTTCTTAGCTCCAAAGTGCTCAGTGCCCCCATATTGGTCCTTTTTTTTTTCTTTGGTGCTGGTGGTGTGGGTGGTATGTATTTAATTAGATAATACATGACCTTTCAAAGGAATCAATGCAGCCTGTATGTAAGCAAGGAAATAAACAAACCCACCATCCTATTTACAAACTAGAAAATTAGCTGGGTACAATGGTGCATGCCTATCATCCTGGCTACTCCTTTGAGCCCGGGAGTTCAAGACCAGCCTGGGTGGTGTAGAAAGACCCTGTCTCCATTTAAAAAAAAAAAAACCTAGACAATTACTAGTGCTCTCTGGTGTGTCCCCCCAACCCGCAGAGATGACTACTATCTTTACTTTTGTGCTAGTTGTTTTCTTCCTTTTTCTTTTTCTAAAAATTGTGGTAAAATAGACATAACATGAAATTCACTGGTTTAGCCATTTGTAAGTGGACAGTTCCATGGCATTAAGCATACAATGTTGTGCAGCCATCACCACCATCATCTCCAGAACCCTTCCATCTGCCCAAACTGAAGCTCTGTCCTCATTCAGCACTGACTCCCCAACCCCCACCCCCACCCCCTGGCCCCAACCATTTCACTTTCTGTTTCTAGGAATTGGACTCCTCTACGGACCACCTACAATAGAATACTGCAATATTTGCCCTTCTGTGTCTAGCTTATTGCACAGCATAATGTTTCCAAAATGTATTGATTTCAGGGTGTAAAGACTATGGCCCCAGTTTCACTTCGGCTTTTGAGAGTTCATGCAAAATGTCTTTGTGGCCTGTGCTGACCCAGAGCCATAAGGGGAAGGATTTGCCAAGCAGCTGAAGCTTAGCTATGTTAATACATACAAATCCATCACCAAAGGAAGGAAACTATTAGAGCAATAACTTTAAAAAATGTCCCAGGACTGAAGGACACTAGTGTCTTATCAGAAGGGGCCCACCAAATGCCAAGTAAAATGGATAAAATTATACCCTCAAGAAAAATTGGCCGGATGCGGTGGCTCATGCTTGTAATCCCAGCACTTTGGGAGTCTGAGGCAGGAGATTCTTTTAGCTCAGGAGTCGGAGACCAGCCTGACCAACATGATCAAACTCCGTCTCTACTAAAAATACAGAAAATTAGCCAGGCGAGGCATGGTGGCACATACCTGTAATCCCAGCTACTTGGGAGGCTGAGGCAGGAGAATTGTTTGAAACCGGGAGGCAGAAGTTGCAGTGAGCCAAGATCGGACTCCGTCTCCAAAAAAAAAAAAAAAAAAAAAAAAGCCCAGTGGCACACACTTGTCATCCCAACTATTTGGGGTGGGGGGAAGATTGCTAATCATGCCACTGCACCCTGGCTTGGGTGAGAGAGTGAGACCCTGTCTCAAAATAAATAAATAATGAAAATTACAAACAGAAAAATAATGATGAAATTTCAGGACAAAGGCAAGTCCATAAAAGCTTCCAGAGAAAGAGCAATTTTCATACAAGGCTAAGGATTTCATGTAAGGGACTTCATTCCATATAAAGACTCAACTGCAAAGCTAGGCTCTAGAAAAACATGGAGCAGGGTCTTCAAAATCCTGAAGACAAGTATTTCCAACCTGGAATTTCATACCAGTTAAGGTGAAGGTGTAGAGACGCTTTCAGAGGTGTGAGGTCTAGAAACCTTTTCCTGTCATGAGCCCTTCTCAGGAAACTGCTAGGGGAGAAAACAAGGGAGTAGACTGCCAAGAGGGAAAAGGTTTCAGGACCAGGAAGAAGGTCAGCAGGAGAGCAGCCACTGCATCTCCATATGGCGGTTGGGCCGGGGTCCCCAGGACCACCTCAGGCTTGATGGTTCACGAGAAGGACTCCCAGGACTCAGCACATGATCTAACTCCCGCCCACCCACTAGAGCGACCGAGTGTCCGGCACAGCCGGTCAAGGGAAAAGGTGTGTGAGGTGAGGTCAGAAGAAGGCAGGCACCGTCTCCAGCACCCTCTCCCACTGGACCCACTGGACTCACTGGACCTGCGAATTCTCTCAGCAAAGAGCGGCAACACGTGTGAAGTGTTGTCCACCAGGGCAGCTCCTTAGACCCCCCAGGGCTTCTGCTGGGGGTCTCACACAGGCACCCTCTTCTTGGCGTGCACCAAGATTCCAGAATTCGAGAAGGAATGCAGGTGTTCAGGAAAAACGCCTCGGGCATGGAGAGGCACTGTCAGGTTGCTGGGAGCCCTCCTGAAATCCGAGTCCCCAGAGGCCAGCCCAGGGTCAGCCTGGTAAGCAGACCCTATAGAGGATGGCAGTCAGGCCTGCTTGTTAACTCTTTTCTGCATCATCCTTTGAAGGGAGAAGTCAAAAAGAGCAGCTGATCAAGAGTTAGCCCAACAGACCTCAGGTGCCGAGGGGAGCAGCTGCAGCCGTCCCTGCGTCCAGATGAGAGAGAGCCAGGGGTAAATTGCCGGGTAGGCAGACTATTTGGCCTCTTTTACTTCAATAGTGAGAGGCAGCCATCTCCTCCTCCAAATCACAGCAATGGAAGAACCCAGCAACACCAAAGATGGCTCCTCTGCTGTAGGCTGGAGCTGGGCCCGTTAACTATCAAGGTTTTCCTTTTGCTTTCATCTGGAAGATCTGGAAGGCACATATGTTTTTTTTTTTCCTTTCCAATTTTTATTTTAGGTTCGGGGGTACATGGGCAGGTTTGTTATGTGGGTAAATTGTGTGTTGCAGGGGCTTGGTGTACGGACTATTTCATCACCCAGGTAAGCAGCACGGTATGGGATCCTCATCTTCATCCCACCCCCACCCTCAGGTAGGCCCCAGGGTCTACTGTCTCCTCCGTGTGTCCATGTGTACTCAGTGTTTGCCTTCCAGTTATAAGTGAGAACACGCGGTGTTTCGTTTTCTCTTCTCGCATTAGTTCACTTAGAATAATGACCTCCAGCTTCACCCACGTGTCTACAAAAGACATGGCTTCATTCTTTATTATGGCTGTGTAGTATTCCATGGTGTATATGGACCACATTTTCCTTATCCAATTTACCACTGATGGGCATTTAGGTTCCTTTCATGTGTTTGCTATTGCCACATATGCTTTAATATTGACTCTCTCTTTACATATTTATGTAATGTATGTATAAAATATAGTAAAATCTCATTTTATATAACTCTCTTAATGGAAATGCAATTTTTACAAAATAAATTCTTATTTCCATTTTTCCAAAATAAACTATTTTACATATCTCAACATAAAATTATCATATGGTAGTACTTGTTATTACACCTTCTCTTTGGAATTTTCAAGATAATTTTTGCATTACTATTAAAAACATCCTGCATGATATCTTCTGGGCTTCCACTAAGAATTTGGAAGTAATTATCTTCATCTACCTGAAGTGGTAGAGACATAAATGAAACTTTAACAACAGAATATACTTCCTTTAGGAGCTGTATGAAGAGATTTTCCGTTTCTGTCATTGTTGAGACTGTGGTTGTGCCAAGAAAGAAATTCTTAAGCATTAAGTTTAAGGAGGTGAGACCTTGTCAGCCACACAGTGGGCAATACAGAAGAGCCTCATCCATCCCAACCCCAACCAACCATAGCCAGACCCCAAAGAGTGAGATTTTAGTCCAGTTTATTTATTCTTTACCAACCTTTGAAACTTCCATGACAAGCTATTAATTACGTTTTTTTCTCTTGTGACAGTAATTTAAACATCTGTGGTTCATTACAAAGCAGTAATTGAGGGAATGTTTAAAGGAAACTATGAGCCACTAAATACATTCATCTAAATGCATTTCACCTGATGCCAAACAACAGCAAGCCCCTCTCAAGTTCCCAGGCTTTGTGGGGTATGACCAAAGCTCCTCGTGCAGTCTACGTGCCATGTGTGCATGCACACACACGTATTTGCCCCTGACTTAAGTTTTTCTTTCTGGAAATCAGAAGCTAGGATATATTACGAGACAAAAATATTTTGGTTTTTAATTATTAACTTGCTATAATTAATATGAAAGCATTGTGTGGTAAATTGAATAAAAATCTCAGTATTGTGGCTGCATTTTCCTCCTTTTATTACTGATCAAGGCATCATCAACCTTGAAGGGGCACTTAATCGTCCTCTTCTGAAGACACATCTATGCAGTGGGTGAAATATGATGTTGGACATCCTGTGTTTTGGTCTATGCTGGAATGTTCTGAATTCAGATATATGGTAGACAGGAGTAGGAGTAAAGTTGATTTTTGTTCACTAACTCCACATCTTCCATCCCCTGACTACTGCGAGAGAGAATGCATTTCTCTCCAGGGAGAATCCCATGAGAGCAAAGTGAGGAAAGCATCGGTAGGAAATAACGAACGCTGAAATCAGCCTTTTACAAATGTATTTAAAGACAGCTCTTACAAGGTTCCTCTTTCATGGTAGTGTTTGATTTTTAAGTGTGCATTACAAGAGCAGTCTCTCAACTTTTTTGCACATTGACCCCTAAAATAATTTTGGGAAAGTATGTATCCCTTCACACATTATATGTGGACAACTAAACATTTTCGTTATAGGTATAGTTATCAATCATGTATTTTTGGCATATCATAAAGTATTGACATTTAAAAATAAAACATCGTCTTTTCAAACATGTTAAATGACATTGAAATTCCACAATAATGTGATACTTGCTCTTATCCATAAAGAATACTTAAAAAGCTCCTCTTTAACATGTGAAAACTTATGTCTTTTTGCTAAAATATAATTTTCTTTTCTTTTTTTATTTTTTGAGACAGGATCTCCCTCTGTCACCCAGGCTGGGGTACAGAGGTGTGATCTTGCCTCAGTGTAACCTCAACCTCCTGGGCCCAGGTGATCCTCCCACCTCAGCCTCCTGAGTAGCTGGGACCACAGGCCTGTGCCACCAAGCCCAGCTAATTTTTTGTATGTTTGCAGAGACAGGGTTTCACTATGCTGCCCAGGCTGGTCTCAGATTCCTGAGCCCAAGCAACCTGCCTGTCTCGGTCTCCCAAAGTGCTGGGATTACAGGCATGAACCACTGTGCTTGGCCTAAAGTATAATTTTCAAAGAGGTAAAATTACAATGCTCATGCAAGATTTTATTCAACTTATTAATCAATGAAGGAAGATATAATGAGTAAGATGTAGAACTGGTTCAAAGAGTATTTTAGGACCTAGAGATATTGAGACAATTTTCTAAAGGAATATTAAGATAAGATTGTTTGGTTAGAAACAAAACTGGTTGATCTCCTAAAGGACAATAAGCTATATCCTTTGAAGTATATTTTCCTATTTGTTTTAAAATGTAGGTTTTATTATTGTTTAGATATAGTGAGGCCAACAGATCAGGAGATGACGGCCACAGAAAACACAGTTTGTTAGAGCTCCCACAGGAAGGGGCCACACCATGCCACGCCACACAGGGTTGGGGCACAGAGGGAAAGAGGCAAGACAAGAGCCTTTGTAGTGGCTTCCAAGGGAAGGCCGGGCAAGGCGGGGAGAACAGGCTGGGCAGGTTTGGCCTTGGCTGATGTGATCAGCAGGCCCTGGCATGAAGGACTGTCCTCCCTGTCTCTGGCCTCACTCTATGGTAAGCAGGGCAAGGGCACAGTGGCCTGGAATGCAAGAGCTTATCCAACCAATCGAGGTGGCTGGCGGGATTGGCGGCTTGCATGTGAAACGTGTGCTTGCAGGTGAGTCATCTGCTATCTCTAAGAATGGATGAGCCGTAGGCAGGACGGGCTCTCCCCTTTTAGCCAGAGCATCAAGAATATAGAAAATAAAATGTAGTTAATACGCATCAAAGCAGAAACTATTTGTACCTCTATTGGCAAACATCTTCAAGTTAACATGCAATTTTGCCAACTCAAAGACTTTCATCAACTAGTAAGCAGTGAGTTGAACAAAGTACGTTCCCCTCATCTTTGGGTGGGACTGTCCCTTTGTATGACATTAAATGACATTCATTTCTCCTTTTTGCCTTACTTTCGCATTCTAGCCATCAGTATCATCTTCCCAAAACTCAGGTGGCAACTTGAGGTTAGAGGTTAAGGGTATGGCCTTTGGCACCTGGGTTGAAGCCTGACTCTGCAGCTGTGAGCACTGTGACCTCGGGCAGATTGCCTAACTCCTCTGTGCTCCAGGCTCCTCATCTGGGGAAAGGTGAAGGATACTCACAGAGCTTACCTCACAGGGAGGCTACTATAATCAATGGTTGCATGGCGTATATTTTTCTATGCTTTTACTTTCAACTTTTCTGGGTCTTTCTATTTAATGTGAGATCTCTGAGACGTCAAGCATATAGTTGTTTTTTTTTTTCTTTTCTCTTTTTGTTTTTGTTTCAATTAGAGACGGAGTTTTGCCATGTTGCCCAGGCTGGTCTCAAACTCCCAGCCTCTAGCCATCTGCCCGCCTCAGCCTCCCCAAGTGTTGGGATTACAGGTGTAAGCCACCGCACCCAGTTGGGTTTTATTTTTAATGCAATCTGACAATCTGACTTTTTATTGAGGTATTTAGTCTGTTTACATTTAATATACATAAACTGACCTTCGGGTTTGTCTCTACCATCTTCTTTGCTTCCTGCTTATTCCATCTGTTCTTTTTTCTTTAAACTTCTTTCACAGCTTCCTTGAAGTAATAAAGTATTTTTATTATTCCTCTTCCTCCCTCCATTAACTTGTCAGTTAAACATTCTGTTGTTATTCTTTTCATGATTGCGCTAGGGTGGCATTGACCAATGGAGCCTTCTGCCGTGAGACAGCCATTCTGTGCCTGTCTTTCCCTCTTACACCACCCACTCTTTCCTGTAGAATAGGGATGTGCAAACGTTCTCTCTAAAGGACCAGATGGTAAATATTTTAGGCTTTACAGGTTATATGGTCTCGGTAGCATCTTCTTAACTCTACCATCATAGCTTGAGAGCAGCCATAGGTAATAAGTCAACAGATTAGCGTGATTGTGTTTCAAAAGCACTTAATTTACAAAGCGGGTGGCAGGTGGCTTTTGCCCGCCAGCTGGCCTGCATCTACTCCATAGCCTCATGCTCTTTGAGGTAGCCTTGCTCCCAGGGCTCCAACTCAGGATGGATTCTATTCAGGGTCAACAATTTTCCTCATCTAATCTCTTTGGTCTAGGGGTGAAACCAGTTTTCCACTATTGCTTCTCCCAGTTAATTCATCAAAAATATTTGGCTTTCTTATTTCCATCCCTACCTCTGCAAACAGCTCCTGAAACTCTCTTCAGTTGAACGCTTTAAGTATGTCATCTTTTTCCTATCAAGATACCCACTGGGGGAGGGGTGTGGTGGCTCACGCCTGTAATCCCAAAACTATGGGAGGCCGAGGCAGGTGGATCACTTGAGGTCAGGAGTTCGAGACCAGCCTGGCCGTCATGGCGAAATCCTGTCTCTACTAAAAATACAAAAATTAGCCGGGCATGGTGGCGGGCACCTGTAATCCCAGCTACTTATGAGGCTGAGGCAGGAGAATCGCTTGAACCCAGGAGGCAGAGGTTGCAGTGAGCCAAGATTGCGCCACTGCACTCCAGCCTGAATGACAGAGTGAGACTCTGTCTCAAAAAAAAAAAAAAAAAAAGACACCCACTGGTGTAACTTCATACTTATGGACTTATGGCAAGTATTTCATTGTGTCCTAAGTAAAAACAAGCTGTTTCCCTATATGTCTCCCTCTCCTACTAAACTTCCTAGAGGGCAGACACTATGCCTTAGTTATACTGATATTCTCCATAAACCCTATTGTTAACTTTTGCATGTAATTGAAACTGAATAAGCAATTCAGAAATGGAGCCAGGAGAGGTTAGAATTAGGAAAAAAGAAATAAATATTATTTACCTAAGTGGGTAGGTGATGAAAGAGGAGTTTTCAAGAGAGACGGAGTAGGTAAAGGAAGAGAGCTAGTTGATTTAGTCTGAACCTTAAGGGAGGAAAAAATTTACAAGGAGATGGTGTGAAAACTGCCTGTTGTTGAATGTTATGGTTTGGCTGTGTTCCCACCCAAATCTCATCTTGAATTGTAGCTCCCATAATTCCCATGTGTTGTGGGAGGGACCCAGTGGGAGATAACTGAATCATGGGGGCTGTTTCCCCCATACTGTCCTTATGGTAGCGAATAAGTCTCATGAAATCTCATGGTTTTATAAGGAGAAACCCCTTTTGCTTGGTTCTCATTCTCTCTCTTGCCTTCTGCCATGATTGTGAGATCTCCCCAGCCATGTGGAACCGTGAGTCCATTAAATTGAGTGAGGGTGAGGAGATGGTGTTATCAGTGTGAGTTATTAACTGTGAGGGTGAGGAGAGGATATGAACAGTGTCAGTGATTAGTGAGGGTGAGGAGATGCTGTTATCACTGTTAGTTGTTGAGTGACGGTGAGGAGACGGTGTTGTCACTGTCAATTACTGAGTGTTAGGAGATGGTGTTTTCACTGTCAGTAGTTGAGTGAGGGTGAGGAGATGGTGTTGTCACTGTCAGTAGCTGACTGAGGGTGAGGAGATGCTGTTGTCATAGTCAGGTGGTGAGTGAGAGTGAGGAGATGGTCTCACTGTCAGGTGTTGAGTGAGGGTGTAGATGATGATGTCACTGTCAGTTGTTGAGTGAGGCTGAGGAGATAGTGTTGTCACTGTCAGTTCTTGAGTGAGGGTGAGGGGATGCTGTTGTCACTGTCAGGTGTTGAGTGAGGGTGAGGAGATGCTGTTGTCACTGTCAGGTGTTGACTAAGGGTGAGGAGATGGTGTCACTGTCAGTTGTTGAGTGAGGGTGAGGAGATGGTGTTGTCACTGTCAGTAGTTGAGTGAGGGTGAGGAGATGGTGTTGTCACTGTCAGTAGTTGAGTGAGGGTGAGGAGATGCTGTTGTCACAGTCAGGTGTTGAGTGAGGGTGAGGAGATGGTATCACTGTCAGGTGTTGAGTGAGGGTGTAGATGATGTTGTCACTGTCAGTTGAGTGAGGCTGAGGAGATGGTGTTGTCACTGTCAGTTCTTGAGTGAGGGTGAGGAGATGCTGTTGTCACTGTCAGGTGTTGAGTGAGGGTGAGGAGATGCTGTTGTTACTGTCAGGTGTTGAGTGAGGGTGAGGAGATGGTGTCACTGTCAGTTGTTGAATGAGGGTGAGGAGATGGTGTTGTCACTGTCAGTAGCTGAGTGAGGGTCAGGAGATGGTGTTGTCACTGTCAGTAGTTGAGTGAGGCTGAGGAGATGGTGATGTCACTGTCAGTTCTTGAGTGAGGGTGAGGAGATGGTGGTGTCACTGTCAGGTGTTGAGTGAGGGTGAGGAGATGGTGTTGTCACTGTCAGTAGTTGAGTGAGGGTGAGGAGATGGTGTTGCCACTGTCAGTTCTTGAGAGAGGGTGAGGAGATATTGTTGTCACTGTCAGGTGTTGAGTGAGGGTATAGATGATGTTGTCACTGTCAGCTGTTGAGTGAGGCTGAGGAGATGGTGTTGTCACTGTCAGTTCTTGAATGAGGCTGAGGAGATGCTGTTGTCACTGTCAGGTGTTGAGTGAGGGTGAGGAGATGCTGTTGTCACTGTCAGGTGTTGAGTGAGGGTGAGGAGATGTTGTCACTGTCAGTTCTTGAATGAGGCTGAGATGCTGTTGTCACTTTCAGGTGTTGAGTGAGGGTAAGGAGATGCTGTTGTCACTGTCAGGTGTTGAGTGAGGGTGAGGAGATGGTGTCACTGTCAGTTGTTGAGTGAGGGTAAGGAGACAGGAGACGGTGTTGTCACTGTCAGTAGTTGAGTGAGGGTCAGGAGATGGTGTTGTCACTGTCAGTTGTTGAGTGAGGGTACACTGTCAGTTGTTGACTGAGGCTGAGGAGATGCTGTTGTCACTCTCAGGTGTTGAGTGAGGGTGAGGAGATGGTGTTGTCACTATCAGTAGTTGACTGACAGTGAGGAGATGCTGTTGTCACTGTTGGAAGTTGAGTGAGGGTGAGGAGAAGGTGTTATCACTGTCAGGTGTTGAGTGAGAGAGAGGAGATGGTCTGTCACTGTCAGATGTTGAGTGAGGGTCAGGAGATGATGGTGTTACTGTCAGTAGTTGAGTGAGGGTCAGGAGATGGTGTTGTTGCTGTCAGTTATTGAGTGAGGGTGAGAAGACGGTGTTGTCCCTGTCAGTAGTTGAGGGTCAGGAGAAGGTGTTGTCATTGTCAGTTGTTGAGTGAGGGTGAAGAAATGTTGTTGTCACTTTCAGTTGCTGAGTGAGGGTCAGAAGATGTTGTCACTGTCAGGTGTTGACTGAGGGTCAGATGGTGTTGTCACTGTCAGTAGTTGAGTGAGGGTGAGAAGATGCTGTTGTCACTGTCAGTAGTTGAGTGAGGGTGAGGAGACGGCGTTATCACTGTCAGGTACTGAGTGAGGGTGAGGAGATGGTGTTACAGTGCCAGTGCTGTGAGAATGAGATGGTGTTATCAATATCAGTTGTTGAATGTGGGTGAGAGATGGTGTGAACAGTGTCAGCGGCTGAGAGTGAGGTAGAGAAATAATGGGTGAGGCCATTGTCAATTAGGAGGCCATTGGCGTCTTTTGAAAGTAGTTAGTGTCTGTGGAGTGGCATGTATTCAGGTTACATGAAAAGCAGCTGAGAAGCAAACTGGCAATCAGAGTGGCAGCAACAAATTAAGAATATTCATATTCATAAAGACCATTTTTTATAATGAAAAAGTAATACATGCAGATGGGGGAAGATCACCTGAACCTTGAGAGGTGGAAGATGTAGTGAGCCGTGATCAAAACATTACACTCCAGCCTGGGTAACAGAGACCCCATCTCCAAAAAACAGAAAAGAAAAGCATTTATAAGTTCATGTTGAACAGTGTTTCAAACACATAGACAAAATTTATATGTCATGAAAATGGAATATCAGAAAAACATTGTTTAAAAAAACACAAAGTGAGTAAACCATTAATACGTGAGGTGAGCGGTGCATCAGCTTGCCGGCTTCCAGCTGCAGCGGGTGATGGAGGTGGAAGGGAGCTGTCCTCGGGACAGGAAATGAAACAAACCCAACCAAAGCCGTGTATTCGTTTATTCAATATCGTTTTGCTTTCTTGTGTAGACTGAGGGTGTAAACCTCGTTTCTGACAGTCGCCTATAGGACTTTTCAGCAGGCTGTGGGCCTAGAGGTGGGGGATGTGGAATCAAGCTAAAGACCCAGAACCAGAGAAAGAAGGAAGCAGCAGTGAGGAAGCAGGACAAGAACATCTCGGAAATTCAGCCCGGCGCGGTGGGCGCGCCTGCAGTCGCGGCGCTTTGGGGGCCCGGGCCACGTAGCACGACCCTGCCTGTGAACGCACAGACACCAGCGGTTCCAAGGGCGCGGGCAGGAAGCGGGCACCGAAGGCAGGCTGGAGAAGCGCGGGGCGGAAGCAAGAAGCCGCGCGGCGAGGAGGGCGCGTGGGGCCCCACACAGCCATGGGGCGCGCGTACTACTGGCAGCGCAGGCTCTGGACCGCTAAGGAGGCCGCGCGCGCCCACGCGTGTCCCCGGCAGAGCTTCCAGGAGACGGCTGCGAGGCCCTTCCACCCGCGGACCAGAGCGCGCCGGGTCGAACCACGACCCACGTGCAGGCCCTCGCGCGCTACCGGAAGGCCAGCCTGTGGCGCACGCGCGCCCCGCCCCGCCGATCGGTGACGTCATCGGGCCCGTCACGAGGCGGGGGCGGGGCCTCGGAACGCGACGCCCCCCGTCCCAGCTTTAGCCACTCGTGACGTCATTGCCCGGACTCCACTGCCTCCTGCGCCGCGCTTTTGCCACCCTGGGCACGTCATCGTGCGCCGACGCCAAACGAGGGCGGGGCCTAGGGACGCCACACCTTCCGCGCCGCCGCTCGTTACGTCATCGGACCTCGCCGCTTGGCGGAGGCGGGGAAGGCCCGCAGGCGGCGCCTCAGCCGGGGTTGGCGCTGAGGGGAGAGGGCGGGGAAAAGGTGGCGAATTGAGGGGAAAGTGGGAGGGGCGGGAAAGGGGCGGTCGGAACATGGCGGACCAGATCCCGCTTTACCCGGTGCGTAGCGCAGCGGCGGCCGCAGCCAACCGCAAACGCGCGGCCTACTACAGCGCCGCGGGGCCCAGGCCGGGAGCCGACCGGCACAGCAGGTAACCGAGGCGGCACTGGCCCCGTTCCCCGCCGACGCTCCCCGGGGCCCCCAGCCCACCGCAGGAACCCGGAGCCGGGCGGGTCTGGGGTCGCTACCGGCGCGCCCCATCTGTTCGCTGGGAGCCGGGAGTCCTTGGCGTTCTGAGCGCGCCGCAGCTGTGGCGTCCGCCGGTGGTGAGGGCCGCGGGCAGCTGCCGGGGCGAGCGGCTGCATCCCCGGGACGCCTGGGCCGAGCGTAGGAGCCAGAACGGGAGCAGAGAACCGCGGTCCAGTGTTGAGGGGTGGCTGCTCTCCTAAAGTAAACGGGGATCAAAAGTGCTAACTTCTCGGATACTTCAGAGTCTCCGAAACTTGTTCTTGTAGCCCTGTGAATTGTGAAGGTGACGGATGTAACTTTTAATTGCTTTGTTAAAAACACACTTCTTATTGAAATGACTTCTCTTCGACATTTCGATATCTTTGCTAGGCACACTTTTTGTTTAAACATATATATACAAAGTGCTTTTTGTCGACAAGTAATTTTGCTTTTACGAAAGGGAAATGGGGTATTGAGAACGGTTAACTTGTTTAGTGGGGTCACAGGTTAGCAGTAGAATTAGTGTACAGACCTTTCATACTCGAGATTGCATTTAGCTCATATTTAACATTTCTCATTCAAAGAAAAGAAAATTTTAAAAAGTGTTGCTTCTTATAGTTTTTGAAGTTTTATTCCAGAGGAATTGTCGAAAACATAATTTCACTCAATATGTAGTTGCTTCAGAATTTGAGTTTTTGAATAATTTTTGTTTTCGGCCATTTGAGAGACTAACATATAGCTCAAAGTACATACTGGAATGTTATAACGCTGATTTGAGTGTTTACCCACTAGCGATTTACTCTCGGGTAACTTATTTAAACTCAAGCCATGGTTTCCTCATCTGTAAAATGCTGGATAATATTTTTTCTTACGGGATTATTGGAGATTACAGTAGAACATGTGTAAGGTGCCCTTTTTTCAGTGCTTGGTTGGAAGTGGGTTCTGGTGTTACCTATAACAGTAATTGTGTTAGTAAATCTGTTTAATTTTAGGAGTTCTTTAGTTGGAAATGTGCCACCTGTTTCAAAATAGGTTTCCATCACAGATTGAATCCATTTTTGCCTCATGTACTTTGAAGCACTGTCATGTGGTGCACGCACATTCAAGATTTTTTGTCATCTCGGTGGATTGTTCCTTTCATTGTTAATGTTCCTCTGTCTCTGGTAATTTTCTTTGCTCTAAAATCTTTATTAGATATTGATGTCGCCATTTATGCTTTTTTTTGGATTAATGTTTGCATGGTATTAGCTTTCAACTTACCTATGTTGAATTTGAAGTGAGTTTCTTGTTGGATCTTATATTTTTTATCAACTATGCCATTCTCTTTTGATTGGCATATTTACACCATTTACATTTACGATAATTACTGATATGTTAGAATATAAGTGTGCCATTTATTATCTGTGTTCTGTTTCTTCTGATTCTCATTCTGATTCCTGTTTCTTTTTTTTTTTTTTTTTGCCACTTTTTGGGTTACTTGGACACTTTTTTGGTATCCCTATAGTGTGTTTGAGATTAGGTGTTGGTATAGTTTTTACAGTGCTTGCTCTGGGTATTACAATATACAAATGTGACTTATCACCATGGTGTATTGCTGTATTTCACCACTTCCAGTCAAGTGTGGAAACCCTTCTTTCACTTAGGTCCTCACTTTAAGTATCATGTCCTGGGTATCAGATGGTGTTACAGTTTTTGTGTCAGTCATCAAATATGGTTTATAAAACTCATGATGATAAAGATAGTGTATTGCATATACCACATACGCATATTTCCCCTTTTTCTATTGTTCTTCCTTTTTTTTTTTTTTGAGACAGGGTCTCACTCTGTTCTCCTGGCTGGAGTTAGTGATGCGATCGTAGCTCATTACAGCTTTGATCTGTTGGGCCCAGGCAATCCACCCATGTAGCTGGGACTATAGGCACATACCACCATGCCTGGCTAATTAAAAAAAATTTTTTTTGAAGAGACAGCATCTTGCTATATTGCCCAACTGGTCTCAAGTGATCCTCCTGTGTCATCCTCCCAGAGTGTTAGGATTAAGGCGTGAGCCATGGCTGCTAGCCTGCCATTCTTTTCTTAGCACTTGAAAAATCTTGTGCTGCTTCCTTCTTGTGTCCATGGTTTCTGATTAGGATGCTGCTGTCACTCAGATTGATGTTCCCCTGTAGATAATGTGTCATTTCTCTCTGGCTGCTTTCAAGTTTTTACTTTGTCTTTAGTTTTCAGAAGTTTAATTATGATGTGTCTTATCATGGATTTCTTTGGATTTCATGTTTGGTTTTGTTTTTTTTTTTTTTTTTGGTTTTCGAATAAATTTAGGGAGTTTTTAGCCATTATTTCTTCAACTACTCTTTGTTGTTGTTGAAATAATGGAGAGTTGCTCCCACTCTCTTCTCTCCATTTGGATTTCCAGTGTTAAGAAAGTTGGATCTTATGTTGGTGTTTCATAATTTCCTTAGGCTCTTTCCCTGTTTCTTTTCTCTGTGTTGTTCAGATTGTGTAAATTCTATTAATCTCTTCTCAAGTTCCCTAATTCTTTTTTTTTTTAATTTTTTTCAGTATTTATTGATCATTCTTGGGTGTTTCTCGGAGAGGGGGATTTGGCAGGGTCATAGGACAATAGTGGAGAGAAGGTCAGCAGATAAACATGTGAACAAAGGTCTCTGGTTTTCCTAGGCAGAGGACCCTGCGGCCTTCCGCAGTGTTTGTGTCCCTGGGTACTTGAGATTAGGGAGTGGTGATGACTCTTAACGAGCATGCTGCCTTCAAGCATCTGTTTAACAAAGCACATCTTGCACCGCCCTTAATCCATTTAACCTGGAGTTGACACAGCACATGTTTCAGAGAGCACGGGGTTGGGGGTAAGGTTATAGATTAACGGCATCCCAAGGCAGAAGAATTTTTCTTAGTACAGAACAAAATGGAGTCTCCTATGTCTACTTCTTTCTACACAGACACAGTAACAATCTGATCTCTCTTTCTTTTCCCGACATTTCCCCCTTTTCTGTTCGACAAAACCGCCATCGTCATCATGGCCCGTTCTCAGTGAGCTGTTGGGTACCCCTCTGAGACAAGGCGGCTGCCGGGTGGGGGCGCCCCCCCACCTCCCAGACCAGGCGGCTGCTGGGCGGGGGCGCCCCCCACCTCCCAGACGGGGCGGCTGGGCGGAGATGCTTCTCACCTCCCAGATGGGGTGGCTGCCGGGCAGAGGGGCTCCTCACCTCTCAGATGGGGCGGCCGGGCAGAGGCGCTCCTCAGTTCCCAGACAGGGTGGCGGCTGGGTAGAGATGCTCCTCACCTCCCAGACAGGGCGGCCGGGCAGAGGCGCTCGTCACATCCCAGACGATGGGCGGCCGGGCAGAGACGCTCCTCACTTCCTAGACGGGATGACGGCCAGGAAGAGGCGCTCCTCACTTCCCAGACTGGGCGGCGGGGCAGAGGAGCTCCTCCCATCCCAGATGATGGGCCGCCAGGCGGAGACGCTCCTCACTTCCTAGATGGGGTGGCGGCCGGGAAGAGGCGCTTCTCACTTCCCAGACTGGGAGGCCGGGCAGACGGGCTCCTCACATCCCAGACAATGGGTGGCCAGGCAGAGACGCTCCTCACTTCCTAGATGGGGTGGCAGCTGGGCAGAGGCTGCAATCTCAGCACTTTGGGAGGCCAAGGCAGGCGGCTGGGAAGTGGAGGTTGTAGCGAGCCGAGATCACCCCACTGCACTCCAGCCTGGGCAACATTGAGCACTGAGTGAGCGAGACTCCGTCTGCAATCCCAGCACCCCGGGAGGCCGAGGCGGGCAGACCACTCGAAGTCAGGAGCCGGAGACCAGCCTGGCCAACACGGAGAAACCCCGTCTCCACCAAAAAATACAAAAACCAGTCAGGCGTGGCGGCGCGCGCCTGCAATCCCAGGCACTCGGCAGGCTGAGGCAGGAGAATCAGGCAGGGAGGTTGCAGTGAGCCAAGATTGCGGCAGTACAGTCCAGCCTCGGCAACAGAGGGAGACCGTGGAAAGCGGGAGACGGAGACGAGGGAGGGGGGAGACCGTGGAAAGCGGGAGACGGAGACGACGGAGAGGGAGAAGGGAGAGGGTAATTCCCTAATTCTTTACTCTGTTATCTCCACTCTATTCTCAATCTCATCCAGTGAGGTTTTATTTCTGTTATTGTATTTCTCAGTTTTATAATTTATGTTTGTTTCAAGATAATATTTGATTGTGGAAGCATTTTTATGTCTGCTGCTTTAAAATGCTTGTCATATAATTAATGCCAGTATCTGAGTTAGCTCAGTGTCGGTGTCATGTGATTGCCTTTTCTAATTCAGATTGCGAATGTTCTGGCTCTTGGTTTGACAGATGGTTTTCGATTGTCTCTTGGGTATTTTGTATATTAGGAGAATTTGGGTTCTATTTATATCTTTTATTTTAGCGTGCAGCCACCCTGTTTAGATTCAGCACATAGGTCCTGGGCTACATTTGTGGGCTGTGGTTCTAAATGACATTTTAATTCTCAGAGCCTTTGTGCTGTGATCTTTGGTCTGCTTGGTTTATGTGGTATCACTGGGGCTCTTCCTGGTCTCTGTTGGTGCTGCGTGAGAGGGAAAGGTGGATTTTCCTAGGCCTGGCGTCTCTTACTAAAAGATGGAAGTGTCAGACCCATGGGGATGAAGAGGCTTCTTTGGCTGGGCCCTGGCTGTGGCTGTATCCCATCCATATGGACCCAGTGGCTGCCCTGGTGTGTCTGGGTTGGAGAAGAGGAGTCTTAGCACCACCATGGTAAAAGGGTTCCTGTGGCAGAATCCCTATTGCTGGTGCCACCTCGATGCTCTGATGTCTTGGAGCAAGGTCTTAGGTTATGGATAAAAAGGTTTTCTGGACTGGGCCCCTTATGTGGTGGGGTTGCACCTGTCGGTGCTGCCTGGCTCTCCCTAATGAGAGAGACCAGTCTCGGGCATGAGGGGCACAGAGCCTTACTGGGCCAGCAGCTTGTAGTGGCAAGTTCCCCTTACTGCTACTGCCCAGATGCCCCGGTATCCCCTGATGGGAGAGGGGAGCCTCAGGCCCCAGTATCCCTTGGTGGGAGAGGGGAGTCTCAGGAAGTCACTGCTGCCTTCTTACCTTCTTCCAGAACTCTCCTTTGATTGGCTCTTGCTTAATTACTAGGATTTATAGTTGGACTTAACTGGGGAGGAGCAGAGAAATGGGTCTGTGGCATTTTGTCTGGACCAGAAGTTGTGCTTCTACATTATTTTCTGAAGTTGGGTTTTATTTTATCGTGGTAACATACACATAGTTTATAAAGTTAAGTGGTGCTTTTACAAGGCTTGCAGTAAGATATTGTGACTCAACCTGTATGTTGGTAACTATTCTCTGGCTTTTGAAAATAACATTTATTTTGCTGTTAAATGTTGATTATTACCTTTTAGTTAATGGTGCTGTTGAGTTCATCTTCCCTTGTGACTTTGTTTATTCTTTTTAGAGTTTTTTTTTTTTTGAGACGGAGTCTCACTCTGTCCCCCAGGCTGGAGTGCATTGGTGCAGTCTTGGCTCACTGCAAGCTCTGCCTCCCAGGTTCACGCCATTCTCCTGCCTCAGCCTCTCAAGTAGCTGGGACTACAGGCGCTCACTACAGCCTCGACCTTCTGGGCTCAAGCCATCCTCCTGCTTTAGCCTCCAGAGTAGCTGGGATAGTAGGCACATGCCAACATGCCCAACTAATTTTTTAATTTTTTTTTGTAGAGATGGGGTTGCACTGGACTTGAACTCCTGGGCTCAGTGATCGCCTTCTGTCGGCCTTCCAAAGTGCTGGGATTACAAGCATGAGCCAGTGCACCCTGCCTCTTTTTAGAGTTTTATCAATTGTTGTTTCACATATTTTGCAGGTCTGTTGTTTGGTGCATACACATTTGAGATTCCTGTGTGTTCTAGATGCATTGACACTTTTATCATTATGTAGTTCACCCATGTGTCTCTGGTAATTTTTCTGCTCTGAAATCTTCATCTGACACTAATATAGCTACCTCTGCTTTCCTTCAATTAATGTTTGCATGGTATATAATTTTCCATCCTTTCTCTCTCAAGTCACTTATATTTGAAGTGATTTTCTGGTAGTTGTCATACGGTTGGTTCTTTTTTTTTACCCACCGCCATTGTCTGTCTTTGGATTGATATATTTAGAAGGTTTATGTTCAGCGTAATGTTTATGCCATTTTATTTTTTGCTTTCTGTTTTTGTTTCTCGGTTTTCTTTTTCCTGCCTTACGGATTATGCTTCAACATTTTTTAGAATTCCAGTTTGATTTATCTATAGCGTTCTTCAGTGTATTTCTTTGTGTAGATATTACTTAGTGCTAGCTCTAGGAATTACATTACATATACATAACTCATTGCAGTGTACTGTTGTTGGTATTTTAACGGTTGTTGGGTAAAGTGTAAGAGCTTTACCTCTTTAAATCCCTTTATTCTCCCATTGGTAATATAATACTCATGTAAAAGTGTATGTAGATTTTACATATGTAAAAGTATATAAATATTTCCCTTATATACAATTAGAACCCTATATCAGACAGTGTTAACAATTTTTGCTTTCTCTCAATCTAGAATATTCAAGAGGCAAAGGAAAGCCTATTATATTCATCTACCCTTTCTGCCCTTTCTGTTTTCTTATTTCCTGATAGTCCACAATTTCTTATTTTTGTTCTGTTTCAGTAATTCTCTAACTATTCTTTTAGGGTAAGTCTACTGGAAACAAATTCTCTTTGTTTTCCTTCATCTGAAGATGCCTGTATTTCTCCTTCATTCCTGAAGGATAATTTCACCAGATACGGAATTCGGAGTTGACAGTTCTTTTCTTTCAGAACTTGAAAAGTGTTATGCCACTTCTTTCTGGTCTCCGTGCTTTCTGATGAGAAATCTGATATCATTTGAGTTGTTTTTCCTTTTGAGATAGGTGTCACTTTTCTCTTACTACTTTCAAGCATTTTTTTTAAGTCTTTAGTTTTTAGTCGTTTGACTGTTCTGGGTCTTGGTATGGATTTCTTCAGGATTACCCTGTTTAGGGTTTGCTTAGTATCCTAATTCTATAAGTTTGTGTCTTTTGTCAAATCTGAGAAGTTTGCAGCCATTCTTTGAGTGCTTTTTGAGCTCTACTCTCCGTCCCTTCTTTTACCCTGGTGACACCTTGTGAAATCTTTTCTTGTACCATAGGGTCCTGAGTTTCTGCTCATTTTTTCTAAGTCCATTTCCTGTTCATATTGGGCAGTTTCTGTTATTTTCTCTTAAAGTTCACTGATTTTTTCTTCCTCGTTTTTTTAGTTTTACTGTTGAGCCCATCCATTAAGATTTTTAGTTTCAAAATTTCCAGTTGATTCTTCCTCATACTAGCAGTGTCTCTTCTGAGACTTTATATTTTTTCATTTGTTTCAAGTCTGTTCATAATTGTCCATTGAGACATTTTTATGATGTGTGTTTAAAAATCCTCATTAGATAATTTCAGTATCTGTGTTGTTTTGATGTTGACATCTATTGATTCTCTTTTCTCATTTGAGTTGAAATTTTTCTGGTTTTGGGGATAATGAGTGATTTTCCAGTATAGCCTAGACATTTTGGGTATTATGTTATGAGATTTGGGACCTTATTTAAATCTTCTGCTTATCGGGCCTGGTGGTGGTGGGAGTGGAATGTGGGGGTTACTGCCAGAAGGGGCTGAAGAGCCAGATTCCCTTCACAGCCCCCTTTGACATCTGGGAAGGGAAGGTACCATGTGACTGCTGGCTCCCCAGTGGTCTCTGCTAACAATACCTTGGCTGGGAAGGGGAGGAGTGCCTGGTTACTGCATGCCTGTGGCCTCCACTGACATTGCATGGGTGGTGTTACCTTTTAGAAGGTGGTTAGATTTTCCACTTTTCACTAGGCCTCCTCTGACATTATAGAGATGGGCAGGAATGCTTTATTACTGCTATTTGGGGATGTTAAATACAATGTACCAGAGGCCATTATTTCAGACTAAGCTCCTGCACCAGGCAAAGCAGACCAGAACAAACCAGAATGGAGTCACTTGTGCTAGGTGCCACAATCAAACTAAATTAAAAACAGACCAGTTTCCTCAAAAACAAGAGGTTCACAGCAACCAATCATAAGGGGGCCAAACTGAGCCAGCATAAGAGAGTCCTCTCTACTTTACCCTGTAAGGAAAGTAACTTTGAAATGCCCAATCTGTATTTTGTTCCTCGTATCTGCTTTCTGCAGCCCTCTCTGGCTGTAAAGTTTACCTCTGCTGCTCAGCATATCTGAGTATCTTTCTATTTCATAGATGAAATACTGCCTGATTTGCTAATAAAAGCCGGTTCGATCTTTAAACTAAATTTTTTGAAACTTTAACAGGAACGAGCATCCGGCACCCTTGTGCATGTACCCTACAATGACTGCCAGGCTTGGATGGATGTCCCCACTCCTGACTTGGTCTGCCCTGACACCACCTGGGCAATGGGGAGAGTGTCTTCCTACGGCTGGGGCGTGTGGGAGTCCAGGCTTCACGCACTCTTTGCTGTTCAATGTAGGTGAGGCTATTTGCTTTTTCTGTCGTCTTTGGATGGGATATAGCAATTACTATCAAAAATTTTTCGTTCCACTAGGCTGCCCTTTTCCTGGTCCTTTGGCTGGAGAGACCAGACTTTTCTTGGGGACTTTTTTGGTCTGTGTCTATTACTTTTCTGGTTGCTAACTCTCTAGTACACAACATGGGCATGAGACCAAAAGGAAATACTGGAAACTCACTGTTGTCTTGTTCTCTGGGTCCAAGGACCTTACTGGTCTGCCCTCTTCTCTCCACATTTTGATGTATAATGTCCAGGGTTTTTATCTGTTTAGTGGGAAGAACAGGGAGTAGCACATCTACTCCATCTTGGTCTAGAACTGGAAGGAAGGAGCAGTTTACATTTTTTCTTTTTTCTTCTTTTTATTTACTCTTTTTTATTTTAAAATTGCTTCATTTACTCATTTTTAACAGCTTTTTTGATATAGTTTACATACATACAAGTTACCCCACTTAAAGTGTATAGTTCAGTTTTTTTTTTTTTTATGCTTTAAGTTCTGGGATACTTGTGCAGAATGTGCAGGTTTGTTGCATAGGTATACACATGCTGTGGTGGTTTGCTGCACCTATCAACCCATCATCTACATTAGGTATTTCTCCTAATGTTATCCTTCACCTAGCCCCCCACACCCCGACAGGCCCCGGTGTGTGTTGTTCCCCTCCCTGTGTCCATGTGTTCTCATTGTTCAACTCCCATTTATGAGTGAGAACATGCAGTGTTTGGTTTTCTGTTCTTGTGTTAGTTTGCTGAGAATGACGGTTTCCAGCTTCGTCCATGTCCACGCAAAGGACATGAACTCATCCTTTTTTATGGCTGCATAGTATTCCATGGTGTATTTGTGCCACATTTTCTTTATCCAGTCTGTCATTGATGGGCATTTGGGTTGGTTCCAAGTCTTTGCTATTGTGAGTAGTGCTGCAGTAAACATACATGTGCATGTGTCTTTATAGTAGAATGATTTATAATCCTTTGGGTATATACCCAGTAATGGGATTGCTGGGTCAGAGGGTATTTCTGGTTCTAGATCCTTGAGGAATTGCTACACTGTCTTCCACAATGGTTGAACTAACTTACACTCCCACCAACAGTATAAAAGTGTTCCTGTTTCTCCATGTCCTCTCCAGCATCTGTTGTTTCCTGACTTTTTAGTGATTACCATTCTAACTGGCGTGAGATGGTATCTCATTGTGGTTTTGATTTGCATTTCTCTGATGAGCTTTTCTTCATATGTTTGTCGGCCGCATAAATGTCTTCATTTGAAAAGTGTCTGTTCATATCCTTTGCTTGCTTTTTGATGGGATTCGTTTGTTTTTTTCTTGTAAATTTAAGTTCCTCGTAGATTCTGCATATTAGCCCTTTGTCAGATGGATAGATTGCAAAAATTTTCTCCCATTCTATAGGTTGCCTGTTCACTCTGATGGTAGTTTCTTTTGCTGAGCAGAAGCTCTTTAGTTTAATTAGATCCCATTTGTCAATTTTGGCTTTTGTTGTCATGGCTTTTGGTGTTTTAATCATGAAGTCTTTGCCCATGCCTGTGTCCTGAATGGTATTGCCTAGGTTTTCTTCTAGGGTTTTTATAGTTTTAGGTCTTACGTTTACGTCTTTAAGCCACCTTGAGTTAATTTTCGTATAAGTTGTAAGGAAGGGGTCCAGTTTCAGTTTTCTGCATATGGCTAGCCAGTTTTCCCAACACCATTTATTAAATAGGGAATCCTTTCCCCATTGCTTGTTTTTGTCAGGTTTGTTAAAGATCAGATGGTTTTCGATGTGTGGCGTTATTTCTGAGGCCTCTTTTCTGTTACATTGGTCTATAACTCTGTTTTGGTACCAGTACTATACTGTTACTGTAGCCTTGTAGTATAGTTTGAAGTCAGATAGCATGACGCCTCCAGGTTTGTTCTTTTTGCTTAGGATTGTCTTGGCTATGTGGGCTCTTTTTTGGTTCCATATGAAATTTAAAGTAGTTTTTTTCTAATTCTTTGAAGAAAGTCAGTGGTAGCTTGATGGGCATAGCATTGAATCTGTAAATTACTTTGGGCAGTATGGTCATTTTCACAATATTGATTCTTCCTATCCATGAGCATGGAATGTTTTTCCATTTGTTTGTGTCCTCTCTTATTTCCTTGAGCAGTGGTTTGTAGTTCTCCTTGAAGAAGTCCTTCACATCCCTTATAAGTTGTATTCCTAGTTATTTTATTCTCTTTGTAGCAGTTGTGAATGGAAATTCACTCATGATTTGGCTCTTTGTCTATTGGTGTATAGGAATGCCTGTGATTTTTGCACATTGATTTTGTATCCTGAGACTTTGCTAAGTTGCTTATCAGCTTAAGGAGATTTTGGGTTTTGTAAGTATACAATCATGTCATCCACAAACAGAGACAATTTGACTTCCTCTTTCCCTATTTGAATACCCTTTATTTCTTTCTTTTGCCTGATTGCCCTGTCCAGGACTTCCAATACTATGTTGAATAGGAGTGGTGAGAGAGGGCATCCTTGTCTTGTGCTGGTTTTCAAAGGGAATGCTTCCAGCTTTTGCCCACTCAGTATGATATTGGCTGTGGGTTTGTCATAAATAGCTCTTATTATTTTGAGATACATTCCATCAATACCTACTTTATTGAGAGTTTTCAGCATGAAGGGGTTTTGAATTTTATCAAAGGCCTTTTCTGCATCTATTGAGATAATCGTGGTTTTTGTCATTGGTTCTGTTTATGTGATGGATTACGTTTATTGATTTGCATATGTTGAACTAGCCTTGCATCCCAGGGATGAAGCTGACTTGATCATGGTGGATAAGCTTTTTGATGTGCTGCTGGATTCGGTTTGCCAGTATTTTATTGAGGATTTTCACATTGATGTTCATCAGGGATATTGGCCTGAAATTTTCTTTTTTTGTTGTGTCTCTGCCAGGTTTTGTTATCAGGATGATGCTGGCCTCATAAAATGAGTTAGGGAGGAGTCCCTCTTTTTCTGTTGTTTGGAATAGTTTCAGAAGGAATGATACCAGCTCCTCTTTGTACTTCTGGTAGAATTTGGCTGTGAATCCATCTGGTCGTGGGCTTTTTTTGGTTGGTAGGCTATTAATTACCGTCTCAGTTTCAGAACTTGTTATTGGTCTATTCAGGGATTCAACTTCTTCCTGGTTTAGTCTTGGGAGGGTATATGTGTCCAGGAATTTCTTCTAGGTTTTCTAGTTTATTTGCATAGAGGTGTTTATAGTATTCTCTGATGGTAGTTTGTATTTCTGTGGGATCAGTGGTGATATCACCTTTATCATTTTTTATTGTGTCTATTTGATTCTTCTCTCTTTACTTCTTTATTAGTCTGGCTAGTGGTCTATCTATTCAGCTAATCTTTTCAAAAAACCAGCTCCTGGGTATTCATTATATCCAGCCAAACTAAACTGAAGGAGATAGAGACACGAAAAACCCTTCAAACCCTTTTCTTCGAAGGGTTTTTCGTGTCTCTATCTCCTTCAGTTTAGTTTGGCTGGATATACAATTCTGGGTTGAAAATTCTTTAAGAATGTTGAATATTGGACCTCACTCTCTTCTGGCTTGTAGGGTTTCTGCAGAGAGATCTGCTGTTAGTCTGATGGGCTTCTCTTTGTGGGTAACCCGACCTTTCTCTCTGGCTGCCCTAAACATTTTTTCCTTCATTTCAACCTTAGTGAATCTGACGATTATGTGTCTTGGGGTTGCTGTTCTCAAGGAGTATCTTTGTGGTGTTCTCTGTATTTCCTAAATTTGAATGTTGGCCTGTCTTGCTAGGTTGGGGAAGTTCTCCCGGATAATATCCTGCAGAGTGTTTTCCAACTTGGTTCCATTCTCCCCGTCACATTCATTCACACAATGAAACATAGGTTTGGTCTTTTCACATAGTCCCATGTTTCTTGGAGGCTTTGTTCATTCCTTTTCATTCATTTTTCTCTAATCTTGTCTTCACGCTTTATTTCATTAAATTGATCTTCAATCTCTGATATAATTTCTTCCACTTGATTTGGCTATTGATACTTGTGTATGCTTCATGAAGTTCTTGTGCTGTGTTTTTCGGCTCCATCAGGTAATTTATGTTCTTCTCTAAACTGGTTATTCTAGTTAACAATTCCTCTAACCTTTTTTCAAGGTTCTTAGCTTCCTTGCATTGGGTTAGAACATGCTTCTTTAGCTCGGAGGAGTTTGTTATTACCCACCTTCTGAAGTCTACTTTTGTCAATTTGTCAAACTCCTTCTCTGTCCAGTTTTGTTCTCTTGCAGGTGAGGAGTTGTGATCCTTTGGAGGAGAAGAGGCGTTCTGGTTTTAGGAATTATCAGCCTTTTTGTGCTGGTTTTTCCTTATCTTCGTGGATTTATCTGCCTTTGGTCTTTGATGCTGGTGACCTTCAGATGGAGTTTTTGTGTGGATGTCCTTTTTGTTGATGTTGATGCAGTTCCTTTGTTTGTTAGTTTTACTTCTAACAGTCAGGCACGTCTGTTGCAGGTCTGCTGGAGTTTGCTGGAGATCCACTCCAGATCCTGTTTACCTGGGTTTCACCAGCGGAGGTTGCAGAACAGCAAAGATTGCTGCCTGTTTCTTCCTCTGGAAGCTTCGTCCCAAAGGGGCACCTGCCAGATGCCAGCCGGAGCTCTCCGGTATGAGGTGTCTGTTGACCCCTGCTAGGAGGTGTCTCCAGTCAGGATACATGGCGGTCAGGGATCCACTTGAGGAGGCAGTCTGTCCCTTAGCAGAGCTCAAGCGCTGTGCTGGGAGATACACAGCTCTCTTCAGAGGTGGCAGGCAGGAACATTTAAGTCTGCTGAGGCTGTGCCCACAACCTACCCTTCCCCCAGGTGCTCTGTCACAGGAAGATGGGAGTTTTATCTATAAGCCCCTGACTGGGGCAGCTGCCTTTCTTTCAGAGATGCCCTTCCCAGAGAGGAGGAATCTAGAGAGGCAGTCTGGCTACAGTGGCTTTGCCAAGGTGTGGTGGGCTCTGCCTAGGTCAGACTTCCCAGCGGCTTTGTTTACACTGTGAGGGGAAAACCACCTACTCAAGCCACAGTAATGGCAGACGCCCCTTGCCCCACCAAGCTTGGGCATCCCAGGTTGACTTCAGACTGCTGTGCTGGCAGCGAGCATTTCAAGCCAGTGAATCTTAGCTTGCTGGGCTCCGTGGGGGTGGGATTCGCTGAGGTAGATCACTTGGCTCCCTGGCTTCAGCCCCCTTTCCAGAAGAGTGAACGGTTCTGTCTTGTTGGCATTCCAGGCGCCACTGGGGTATGAAAAAAGACTCCTGCAGCTAGCTCGGTGTCTGCCCAAACGGCCACCTAGCTTTGTGCTTGAAATGCAGGGCCCTGGTGGTGTAGGCATCGAAAGGAATCTCCTGGTCTGCGGATTGCGAAGACCATGGGAAGTGCGTAGTATCTGGGCCAAAATGCTCTGTTCCTCACAGCACAGTCCCTCAGTGCTTCCCTTGGCTAGGGGTGGGGAAGTTTGCCTGACCCCTTGTGCTTCCCGGGTGAGGCGACACCCCACTTTGCTTCAGCTTGCCCTCCTTGGGCTGCACCCACTGTCTAACCAGTCCCAGTGAGATGAGCTGGGTACCTCAGTTAGAAATGCAGAAATAACTCGCCTTTTGCCTTGATCTCATTGGGAGCTGCAGACCAGAGCTGTTCCTATTGACCATCTTCTTCTTTTTTTTTTTTTTTTGAGAGGGAGTCTTTCTCTGTTGCTAGGCTGGAGTGCAGTGGCGCCATCTTGGCTCACTGCAGCCTCTCCTGGCTTCAAGCGACTCCCCTACCTTAGCCTCCCAAGTAGCTGGCACTACAGGCACGTGCCACCATGCCCGGCTAATTTTTTTTGTTTTAGTAGAGACAGGGTTTCACCATGTTGGCCAGGATGGTCTTGATCTCCGGACTTCATGATCCACCCGCCTCGGCCTCCCAAATTGCTGGGATTACAGGCGTGAGCCACTGCGCCTGGCTCAGTTTTTTTTTTTGGAATATTCATAGATAAATGTAACTCACCAAAGTCAGTGTTTGAACATGTTCATCATGTCCAAAAGAAAGTTTGTACCCCGTTGGGTACCCCGGGTATGAGTACCCCTATCATTTTCCTACCAACCCTATCCCATCATTTTCCATTCCACCTATCCCCCAACCACCATATCTATAGAGTTTTTTCACTGTGGTAAAATATAGGTAACTTAAAATTTACCATTTTAACTATTTATAACAAGTCACTAATTTCAGAATGGCACACATTTCCCAAAATAGAAATATTAGAACATGACAATTTTGCTATAAACTTAATTCACTTCCCAATTTAAACTTTGGGAAGTGTGTGCTATATAATAGAGTAAAAGTAAAAAAAAAAAAAATGTAAGCGTATTGTCTTAATTTACGAGAAACAGAATTTTACATTATGCAGCCTAGATATCCACATTGGCGGTTGAAAACTAAATAGTTATTAGAAAAACAGCTTTCATATGAGCTTTACATCGCTTTGTGAGCATTGAAAGCTTCCTTCCTTGACCATTTGAAAATGACATTTTGCTCTTATGTATAAATAATTGTACTTATTGTATTTTAAAAGTTCTCAGGTTTTCCTTGAAGTGGAATTATTTTTATTTCATTATAATCATACTACTTTAGGACACAGTGTATTTAAAAGATAACGTTGGTTAGTTGTTAAAACTTGTATAAAAATTTTCATGACTGGGCTTATATTTTATAAAAATTTCCAAGGGAAGAATTAGATGTGATTTGAGTATGATGTTAGTCCATTCTTGCATTACTATAAAGAAATATAATACTTGAGGCTGGGTAATTTACAAAAAAAAAAAAAAGGTTTAATTGGCTCGTGCTTCTGTAAGCTTTTAAGGAAGCATGGTGCTGGCATCTGCTTCTGGTGAGGCCTCAGGAAGTACACAATCATGGTGGAAGGTATTGGAGAGCCAGCATGTCACATGACGAAAGGGAGCAAGAGAGAGAATGGGAGGTCCCAGACTTTTATAAACAACCAGATCTCACGTGAACTGAGTGAGAACACACTTATCAATCACCATGGGGACTCATGAGAGGACCACCCCCTACCCCATGATTCAGTATCTCCCACTAGGCCCCACCTCTGACATTGGGGATCACATTTCAACATGAAATTTGCAGGGGACACACATCCAAACCATAGCATATGGTTAAGGAAGATTAAGAAATTCAATAGCACATTGCCTTTATTATCATCGAGGATGAAGATGTTACGGTTTTCATATGTCATTAAGTAAACAAAATGACGTGTGCCACACATAGTAGCTCATAGTTCACTGGGAACGCAGTTACTTGTTCAGTCTGTTTTCTACAAAGTCATGTGAGATACTGATTTTTCCTTCGCATTGTTGATATCTGGGTGAAAATAAGGTATTTGTTAAATTGGTATTTCCCTTTTTTGTGTTTTAAGTGATAGTGGTGTCATTCAACTTATCTTTGCAGTTGAATGAAGAATGAATGACATTGAGCATTATTGTTTTGTTTATCCATGTCCATTATTAGTTTTTCTTTGCTTTTGCCAGCAGTGTGACTATTGGCCCTGCCCAGAGCCATTTGCAATCTTACAATAGTTAAGTGTTAGCACTGAAAGATACTAATGTTAAGAACAGATGTCTACTGTCTGATTATTGGGAAAATATTAGTGTTTCTTAGTAGAAGCAACACAGTTTTTTTTAATACTAGATTTCTCATTCTGAGTCTATACACAATTTTCTATGAATCATAAAACTTTGATAATTATGATAGTCTAATATTTTACTAGTTGTAAAAATGAAACTTATTTTGCTGTGATGTTTCACAATTGAAAAGCCTTTTTTTTTTTTAAGGCGTAGTACTAATTCTTAAGACAGTGTTTATCTAATTGTCCAGTCCCAGGATTCATTGGAATCAGAGACATTTTCTTAGGGGGTCTATAAGAATTTCCTTTAAAAGGCATCCGTAGGCTGCGTGCAGTGGCTCACGCCTGTAATCCCAGCACTTTGGGAGTCCAAGGTGGGCGGATCACCTGAGGTCAGGAGTTTGAGACCAGCCTGGCCAAGGTGGTGAAACCCTGTACTAAAAGTGTAAAAATTAGCTGGACGTGGTGGCGGGTGCCTGTAATCCCAGCTACTCAGGAAGCTGAGTCAGAAGAATCGCTTGAACTTGGGAGGCAGAGGTTGCAGTGAGCTGAGATTGCACCACTGCACTCCAGCCTGGGAGACAGAGCAAGGCTCTATCTCAAAAAAAAAAAAAAAAAAAAGATAAAATCTCAAGTTTAAAAAATTATTTACACTTGCCAGAATAGAAATGTTTTACTTATTTTTTTTTTTACACCTAATAGTATTAGCATGAAGACAGAGTTGATAGTAGGGAACATCACAATTTTAGGTAACTGAAGTATGTATCCTGAGCTAATTGGCTATATAGCTTCAAATTTTTGGGTTTGCATTTATATAACATTGGATATTGTACCATTAACTCTAATTCAGAAGTTTTTCTCAATTTATGTATAGCAGTGTTATTTCTTATTTCAAGAAATTGGTGTTCAGTTTTCTTGTAGAACATTTTAGAAATCATTAGCTCCAAGGTTATTGTATATATGATTCCCATGGGGGAAATGACATCTCAGCTCAAGGGACTATTTCCATGTTCCTTTTCCTGGGTTTTGCTACTAAAGTCAAGGCATATTTTTCAGGCAGCCATCCCTTTAAATTTTATTTATTCATTTGTCTGCTGGGTTATTTATTTATTTTAACATCTTGCCCTTTGTCTTAGTTCATTTTGTGCTGCTGTAACAGGATATCTGAGACTAGATAATTTATAAAGAACAGAAATTTATTTCTCACACTTCTTGAGGCTGGGAAGTCCAAGATCAAGGTATTGACGTCTGGTGAGGCCTTCTTGGTGTGTCCTCACATGGGAGAAGATGGGAGGGCAAGAGAGGATGAATGTGGTTTCCTCACATGGCAGAAGAGCAGGAGAGAGCAAACCCATTGCAATATGCTCTCTTTATGATGGCATTAATGCATCATGAGGGCGGAACTATTGTGAGCTAAATGCTTCCCATTAGGCACTATCTTCTAAGACTGTTGCATTGAGGATTAAGCTTCCAACACATGAATTTGGAGGGGACAAAAACATTTCAACCGTAGCACCATTTGTCTCCTTTGCTGCTATTGGAGGGAGAGTCCCAATTTCTCATTAGTTTATGCAGCTTGCTGCTTAGTAATGACTTATCAATGACAGTTGAAACTTGTAGTTGTATTTGATGAAGGAAATATGCACATTTCTTTATAGCACTTAGTTTTTTGCTTTGTTTTTCTACTTTATTAACATGCAGGCAAAGTGGGAGTGTTTATTTTTAAAGAAGCTTTGAGCATTAGACATGTTTTAAATCTATTTCTTCGTTTAATATCAGTTGTCTTCTAAGAAGTGTTTCTCATCAAAATGGAAACAATAAGGCTTAGATATTTAAGATAAAATGTAAGTTTTAAGCTAGTTATTGTAATGATTTACTTAGTAACTTTTACTTAGTAACTTATGTGTAACTTATGTGCCTTCCAGTACTTGAGAGTTCCTAATTTTTTTTGAAACCTTTGGCTGCAGTTCAGATAGCTGTCCTTGTTTCTTAGCATGGCAGTGCTCTTGGGTTTGGTATCATCCATTCTGTCATCTTTGTTCATAATTGTTTTTACTCATTTTAAAAATATGTTTCCAGAATTATAGTTAATTGCTGGAAACGTTGATTTTTCTTGAGTGACAAACCAATTAAGTGTGTATGACACCAGGCAACAAAGACACTTAAGATTCTGCGCTTTTCCTGTCTCTGAAAAAAATCCATTATTCATCATCTTATTGTTTTTAAATACTGAGGTAAAATTTTCAGTACAATAGGAAAATTGCCTTGGAAATGGAATAAATTGCTTGCCAGTTCAAAGGCTCCATTTCTGGAGTTGAGGTTACAAAACATGATGTTGCTTATATTCCTTATCTTTCAGAACTCGTTGTGCTGCGTTTCCCGCATTAAACTTGATAGGATTGTGACTTTTACTAAAATAAGACATAACTGTTGAATAACTTAATGAAAAAGATCAAAAGTCTCATTTAGGGTATTATATTACAATATATTTATGTGGTGGTTTGAATTTATTCACATTTTGTATAAATACTCATTTTCTAGTTGACTGTTTTAAAAGAAGTGATCTCATACAGAGAAGAAAAAAATGACATTTTAAGGGAAAATATTATTAATGTTTTAGTCTGTTACTTCATAGATCATGTAATTTTTTGCCTAAATTATAATGAAACTTGTATGTTGTGAGGTTGTTCTGTGATGCTGTCGATAGTGGTTGGAGTTGTGTATAAAAGATTATCTGGAGACACTAAAGCAAGTAACATTTTGATTGGTAGAGTAGGGTGTTTAAAAGAGGGGTGAAAAGAAGTGACTGCCATTTCTCCTAACACATTTACTTTCAACAAAGGTCTTCTTTGTGATTATTTTTAGTGACAATATTCTATTCCATGGTATATTTCACCAATTATTTATTCATGGATACTATGCTTTTTGCCATGTTTCCTTTGGTCTTTTTCAACATCACAGCACAGTGATGGTTATCTTTGTAGAGAAATCTTGAACACATTTTAAATTTCCGTGGGATAATGAGAAACCATGGTTAAAGTTTATTTACGTTACAGAAATAAAAAGCTTTCAATGCATCGTCACAAATTGTTCTCCACTCTTACCAGCGATTAAGAGTGCCTGTTTATCCAAGACCGTTGGCCATATTGAATGTTAAGAATTC